>NC_000020.11:8096638-8248153 GCF_000001405.40 Homo sapiens
ATTTTGTATACACTGTAACAATGTAGATCTATCTGCAAATTATTTAAATGTACTAATATATTGATAGATTATGTTGTTTGAATTTTAGATTAATGTTGCATTGAAAAATACCATAAAATACATATCATAAAATTTTACCTATTAAGAAAGTATGTTTTAATAGGTAAAAAAAGTTATGATGTTTGCATAACTTTGTGAATATACTAAGAAGCACTGTTTTTGTTGTAGTATATTCACAAAGTTATGCAAATATCACCACTCTCTAATTCCAGAATATTTTCATCATCCCTAAAAGAAACTCTATCCATTAGCAGTGACCACAGTCTCTCCTCCCAGCTCCTACCAAACTCAAATCTACTTTCTGTCTCTTACAATTTGCCTATTCTGGACATTTCATTATAAATAGAATCATACAACATGTGGCCTTTTGTGTCTGGCTTCCTTCTCTTAGCATACGGTTTTCAAGGTTTATCCATGCTACAGCAGGTATCAGTACTTCACTGATTTTTGTAGTTGAATAATATTCTATTGTACTACATTTTGTTTATCTGCTCATCAGTTGATGGAAATTTGGGTTATTTCCACTCTTTGGATATTATAAATCATACTTTTATGAATATTTTTGTACACATTTTTGCATGAATATATGTTTTCAATTATTTTGGCCATACACCTAGGAGTGCAATCGCTAGATTGTATGGTAACTTTAACTATTTGAGAAACATTCTGTTTTTCAGAGGTTGAAAATTTTACATTCCCACCAGCAATGTGTACAGCTTTCAATTTCTATACATCTTCACCATTTGTCACTTATTATTATCTATTTTTTAAAATTATAGTCACTCTAGAAGTTGTGGTATCTCGTTGTGGTTTTGATTTGCATTTCTCTGATTAGCTAATAATATTGAGAGTCTGTTCATGTGCTCATTGGACATGACTAAGTTAAGTTTAATTTAGCTTTTGAGATGTATGTTTTGTACAGCAGGTGATAAAATTAATGTATGAAAGAACCATGTCTGTTTTGCTCACCTTTCTTCCCTAATGCCTGGTGCACAGGAGAGCTGTGTCTATTCACTGACTGAGAAATTGATAAGACAAATGAGTGAATGGACAGGCATCCTCCTTTATAATGGTAAAGGAACTCAAAGTTGCTCATCATTAATGGTGTGTGAAAAGAATAAAAGATTTTGTCATTTTGTCTAGATTCACTTTTTCTTGAAATTCTAGCTCAGGGTTTCTTTCCAGTACAAAGGATACAACCTTTAGGAATTACACAATGTTCTGTGTGTCCTTAAACTGGTCAGTCTTTCTCAACATATTTCAATAAAGGGAGAGAAATTTATCTCAAACATTGTCAAATACGACAGGGTTGTTTGCTGTGGCAAATGATCCCCAGCTACAACATTATCATTGTGTGTTCACTCTGGGATCTGCCACACTTGGCCATAGAGCCCAGAGGGGGTTATAGTCAAAGACTCACCTATTTGGTGCTTGTTCACCCACCATCTCCCATTCAGTTAAACCTGGCGAATATCCCACAGAAGATGCTTAATATCATTGAGAGACAGCTGATTTAGGTCTACAGCTGGCCTGTCTCTATTACAGATTTCTTGCTTTTATACCACAGCGTGGATAACCCACATGATCTGTATTTTCAGCATGACACAATATTCAAGAATATTGAAAATGATTCAGTCAAAGAGATGACCAGTTCTTACTGGAGGACCACTTTCCTTTTATCATGGCTATTGTAATAAATGGCATTCTTATACATTCTTTGAAACAAAGGATTAAAAATGATCTTTTCTTCATGCCCACCAGCAGCAAGAGTTACCTGCTTGCCCTACATTAAAACAATAATGGATAGTACCAGGTTGTTCACTCTTTTACTTTTAAAACTTACTGCAGCCTTCAAAAGCTTTTTGCTCTTTGATAGAATATTTCAACGTGATCAGAAAGACCACCTTGCTTTGAGATGAAGTTTAGGCTTTGTCTTTTGAGAAGTATACCCAGCAAGATGGTAAAGCCAGAAAACTGCAGTTGTTGAGATTTAATGCATTGAGTTTGTTTTTCTGTTGAGCAGTTGTTATATAAAGCCACTCTATTAAGCCAGGAACACTGGAGGAACTGGTTTATCTTTGACTTTTGAATTTTGGGGAAGTTCCAATTTCCTACAACTTTTAATCTTTCTATGTTGCTGATTTGTAGGAAGTCATGTTGTTTCATTATCACTTGAGATATTAGTATCTATATATTATGAACATGAGCCTGAATCCTCCAAACATTTTTAAAAAGATGCCAGCATATCTAATATGAAGTTGAACTTGCTACCTCTTATATTGTTTTCCCTATAAACACACAGAATAGTGGATACCCATGCATTTTCCAATACTGCCTAGTGAATTGCAGGGTGTTCTTTATATAATCTATCAGCAGTAAAACATCCTGAAACATGTAGTAATTGCTTAGGTCAAATAATGTAATATATCTTTGATGCGCTGAAATAGACAATGAAGAGTACTAGCTTTTCAGTGATGCCTAGGTGGAAATATACTTCCACAAATTTCTGTTGAGGCCATGTCTGAATGGGTTCACTGAGGGGAGACAGAGTTACATACCATGTATGTTGAGAAAAACTCGACAGTGTTAGCTTTCTGCTACTAGCGCTTCATGAACTATTACTATTATTTTTTTTCCAGTGGACCCTTATTGGAAAAATCTCATGTTCACATTTTCCTGTAGGAGGATTTAGCACTGGATTGGATCAATGTCTTTAGGGCTCATTGATCAAGAGTTTTTCAATGATTAAAAGAATAGTTTTCTGTCATGCTTATGGTGGCTAAGAAATTACATTTGACTATAAGAGTTGCTTTATTTTTTCACATTCTATAAAGTCAGCTGGCACTCAATAGTACTTTGGAACAGTGACTGGATATTTGCCAGTGATCTGATGATGACATAGTGGAATCAGAACATTTTGATACTCCTTTGTTTGTTTGGGATTTCATCTTCAAACTCCATCAATCAACATGTAAAGAAAAAGATGGAAATTCACATTCACAATAGCTTACTTTCAACTGGCTTGTACTAGTATCTATTAGAATTTTTAAAATGGTGTCCTATAACCTTCTCTCAAGAGATGCTTAAGCTAATGGTATGCTTGGACCAGCTCACACTGTCTTGCAAAGCCAGTTGGATGCATCTCTTCATGACTAAGAATTCACTTACTTCAGGTTGGCAACTTGCAGTCACCAATGGATAGAGCATTAACATAATAGAAATTGGCAAATGCTACAAATCAGGGTGCTACTTTCCTCCAGAGTGTTAGTTGTTAAACATTTAGTGGTCCATCGCTGATTATACCACTTGTTTCTAAGAAAAACTATTAGGAGAGGACCTAATGCATGACATTGTGATTTGTGTCATATGACCTTGGTAATCTGCAGTCCTAATTTTGATCCCTCTAGACACTAAGGCAAGTATTCAAGTACGAGTAATTTTTTGGGAGTTTAGACAACAGCAGCTGGGGACTTGGGAGCTGAGGCTGGGAACAGAAAGCAACCAACACAAGATTCATTCTTAAGTCAGCTACCAAGGTGGGCAACTCCTAAAACTAATAATTGAAGTCAACATGGTTACAGGATTCAAGACAAACATATTAGAATCAATTGTATTGATATGCTAGCAATAAACACATGAACACTGAAATTAAAAATGTAACATCACTTAAAATTGCTCAAAAATACAATTCTTAAGAGTACCTCTAAAAACCATGTACAGTGCTTATAAGGTGAAAGTTCACAATGATGATTAAGGAAATCAAAGAAAATCTGAATAAAGATGCATACTACATTCATAGATTGAATGAATCAACACAGGAAAGATGTCAATTATCCCCAAAATTACATACAGTTTTAATGCAATTCCTGTCAAAAGCCCCCCCAGCAATTTCTTTAGTAGATATGGAAGAAACTATTCTAAAATTTGTATGGGGAGGGAGACAAACTGAGAGGGATCAGTCTTCTTGATTCTAGGAATTTTTAAAGAGCTATAGTAATCAGACCCGTGTAGCACTGACAAGAGGAATAGACACACCAATCAATGGAACAGAATAGAGAATCCAGAAATAGATTCATACAAGTATGCCCAATTGGTATTTTGACAAATTTACCAAAGCAATTCAATGGAGGAAAAATAGCCTTTCCAATAAGTGGCAAGTGGTGTTGAAGCAATTGGAAATCCAGAAAGAAAGAGAGAAAGAGGAAGAGAGAGAGAGAGACAGAGACAGAGAGATAGAGAGAGAGAGAAAGAGAAAGGAAGAAAGACAAAGGGAAGAAAAAGAAAAAGAACCTCAACCTAAACCTCACAATTTATTCAGAAATTACTCAAAATTGATCACAGATTTAAATACAGTATACAAATCTATAAAATTTTAGAAACCTAAGAGAAAATCTTTGGCATATAAGACTAGGCAAAGCATTCTTAGACTTGACACCAAAAACATGATCCAAAAAAGGAAAAAATTATAAATGAAACTTCAAATTTAAAAGTTTTACTCTGCAAAAACCCTGTTGAAAGGATGAAAAGAGAAGATACAGAGTGAGAGAAAATATTTGCAAACCACATATGCAAAGAAGGACTAGTTTCTAGAATATACAAAAAGAACTGCCAAAACTCAACAAAACAAGCAATCAAATTAGAACATGGTCAAAAGACATGAAGAGACATTTCACGAAAGAAGATACACAGATGGCAAATAAATACATAAAAAGTTGTTCAACATCATTAACTATTTTGGAAATACAAACTAAAACCCCAATGAGACATCATAGTGTGCCTGTCATAAGAGTTAAAATAAAAAAAAAATTGATAATACCAAATGATGGCAATATTGTAGAGAAATGAGATCACTTGTACATTGATGAATAGAATGCAAAATGGTACAGTTACTCTAAAAAACAGTTTGACAGTTTCTTTAAAAACTAATCATGCAACTCCCATATACAACCCTGCAATTGTACTCCTGGGCATTTGTCCCAGAGAAATCAAGATTTACGTGTACTAAAAAACCTGTATATAGATATTTATAACAGCTTTATTTATAATAGCACAAAGCTGGAAACAATCGGGTGTTCTTTATAACGGGTTAAAGGTTAAACATTCAGTTATATATTCAAACCATGGACTAATAATCAGCAATAAAAACAAGCTATTGATACATGCAAACACATAGGTGGATCTCCACAGTATTATGCTGAGTGAAAAAAGGCCAATTTGAAAAGTTCATATACTATATGATTCCATTTAGATAACATTTTGAAATGACAAAGTTAAAGAAATGGAGAACAGATTGGTAGTTGCCAGAGTTAGGGAGGGCTTGGAGTCCAAAGCTAAGTGAGTGAAGCTACAAAAGGACAACAGGTAAAAGTATTCCCTTTTCTCTGCAGCCCTGGCATCTGTTTTTTGTTTTTTTTTTGACTTTGTAATAATAGCCATTTTGACTGGTGTGAGATAGTATCTCATTTTGGTTTTGATTTGCATTTTTCTGATGATTAGTGATTTGGAGCATTTTTTCATATGTTTGTTGGATACTTGTATGTTTTCTTTTAAAAAGTGTATGTTTTGCTGGGTGCGGTGGCTCACACCTGTAATCCCAGCACTTTGGGAGGCTGAGGCGGGCAGATCACCTGAGGTCAGGAGTTTGAGACCAACCTGACCAACATGGAGAAACCCCATCTCTACTAAAAACACAAAATTAGGTGGGTGTGGTGGCCCATGCTTATAGTCCCAGCTACTGGAGAGGCTGAGGCAGGAGAATCGCTTGAACCCAGGAGGTGGAGGTTGCAGTGAGCTGAGATCACGCCATTGTACTCCAGCCTGGGCAACAAGAGCAAAACTCTGTCTCAAAAAAACAAAAAACAAAAACTAAACAAAAAAGAAGTGTTTGTTAATGTACTTTGCCTATTAACTTTTTGGTGTGCTGTTGGATTCAGTTTGCTAGTATTTTGTTGAGGATGATTCCATCTATGTTCATCAGGGATATCACCCTGTAGTTTTCTTTTTTGTTGTTGTGTCTTTGCAAGGTTTTGGTATCAGGGTGATGCTGGCTTTGTAGAATGAGTCAGGGAGGAGTCCCTCTTCCTTGATTTTTTTGGAATAGTTTCAGAAGAATTGGTACTGGCTCTTCTTTGTATGTCTGCTACAATTTGGCTGTGAATCCATCTGGTCCAGGGCTTTTTTTGGTTGGTAGGGTTTTTTTAATTACTGATTTAATTTCAGAACTTGATATTGGTCTGCCCAGGGTTTCAATGTCTTCCTGATTCAATCTTGGAAGGTTGGATGTTTCCAGGAATTTATTTATTTCCTCTAGATTTTCTGGTTTGTGTGTGTAGAGGTATTCATTATAGTCTCTGAGGATCTTTTGTATTTTGGTGGGATCAATTGTAACATCACCTTTGCTGTTTCTGATTGTGCTTATTTGGATCTTCTGTTTTTCTTGTTAATCTAGCTAGTGGTCTATTGCTCTTGTTTATCCTTTGAAAAAGCCAATTTTTGGTTTTGTTGATTCTTTGTATGATTTTTTGGGTCTCAATTTCATTTGGTTCTGCTCTGATTCCAGTTATTTGTTTTCTTCTGCTAACTTTGGATTAGTTTGTTCTTGTTTTGCTGGTTCCTCTAGATGTGATGTCAGATCATTAATGTGAGATCTTTCTAACTTTTTGAGGCAGGCATTTATTGCTATAAACTTTCCTCTTAACACTGCTCTGCTGCATCATAGAGATTTTGCTATGTTGTGTCTCTATTTTCATTTTATTTAAAAAATTTTTTTATTTCTGCCTTAATTTCATTGGTTACTCATAAGCCATTCAGGAGAAAATTTGTTTAATTTCCATGTAATTGTGTGGGTTTCAAAGACTATCTTGGTATTGATTTATATTTTTATTTCACTGTGGTGTGAGAGTTTGCTTGGTATACTTTTTATATTTTTTAACTTATTGAGACTTGCTTTATGGCCAAGCATGTCTTTACCAAGCATGGTAAATCTTGGAATATATTCCATGTGCAGATAAAAAAATGTATGTTCTATGGTTGATGGGTGGAGTGTTCTGTAGATGTATGTTAGAGCCAATTGGTCAAATGTTGAGTTTAAGTCCAGAATTTCTTTGTTAGTTTTCTGCCTCGATGATCTACGTAACACTGACAGTGGGGTGTTGAAGTCCCCCACTATTAATGTGTGGCCGTCAAAGCCTTTCATAAGTCTAGAAGTACTTATTTTATGAATCTGGGTACTCCAATGTTGGTTGTGTATATACTTAAAATAATGAAGTCTTCTTATTGAATTCAACTGTTTATCATTATGTAATTCCCTTCTTTATCCTGTTTTTTACTGTTGCTGGTTTAATATCTGTTTTATGTAGTATAAAAATAGCGACCCCTGCTCTTTTTTGTTTTCCATTTGTATGCTAGATCTTTCTCCAACCCTTTACTTTGAGCCTATGGATATTGTTACATGTGAGCTGGGTCTCTTGAAGACAGCAGAAGGATGGGTATTTTTTTTTTTAAAATCCCATTTGCCATTCTGTGCCTTTTAACTGCAGTGTTTGGACAATTTACATTCAATGTCAATATTGATGTGAAGTTTTGATCCTATCGTGAGATTGTTAGCTGGTTGCTTTGTAGTTCCTACTGTGTGGTGGCTTTATAAGTTCTGTATGCTAGGCACTTAAGTGTGTTTTTATGGTAGCAAATATTGTTCTTTTATTTCCATGTTCAGAACTCGTTTCATGATTTTTTTGGAAAGCTGGTCTAGTGGTAATTAATTCCCTTAGTGCTTGCTTGTCTGTAAAAGATTTTATTTCTCTTTTGCTTATTAGGCTTAGTTTGGTGAGATATGAAATCCTGGTTGAAATTTCTTTTTTTAAAGAATGCTGAAAATAGGCCCCCAATGTCTCCTGGCTTGTAAGATTTCTGCTGAGAAGCCTGCTGTTAGTCTGATGGAGTTCCCTTTGCACATGATCTGACATTTTCTCTAGCTGCCTTTAAGATTTTTTTCTTTATTGTTGACCTTGGATAGTCTGGTGACTATATGCCTTAGTGATGTTTATTTTGTATTGTATCTTGCAAGTATTCTCTGGATTTCTTGTATCTGGACATCTACCTCTGTAGCAAGATAAGGGAAAACTTTATTGAATTATTACCTTAAATATGTTTTCCAGGTTGTTTACATTTTCTCTTTCTCCTTCAGGAGTGCCAATATTTTGTAAGTGTGGTTGCTTTACACAATCCCATATTTCTTGAAGATTTTGTTTATTTTAAAAGCTTCTTTTTTCTTTACTTTTGTCTGACTGGGTTAGTTTGAAAGGCCAGTCTTCAAGTTCTGAAATTCTTTTTTCTGCTTGGTCCAGTCTATTGACAATGGTTTCAGTTGTATTGTGAAATTCCTTAAGTAAGAAAATTCAATTCTAGAAGCTCGAATTGATTTCTTTTTAAGATGTTTATCTCTTTCTTCATTTCCTGAATTATGTTACAAATTCCTTTGTGTTGATTTTCAACCTTGTCTTCTATCTTACTGAGCTTCTTTGAAATACATGCTTTGAATTATTTATCTGTCAGTTCTGAGTTTTCATTTTGGTTAGGGACTTTTGCTGGAGATTTAGGGTGATCCTTTTGTGGTGTCACTACATTCAGATTTTTCATGGTGCCAAAATTCTTGTGCTGGTTCCTTCTCATCTGGATATGCTGGCACTGCTAATTTTTGTAATTATTTTCATGTGGGTAGGATTTTTTTCCTTTGTACTTCTTTACCTGTAATATTGTTTTTTTTTTTTTTTCCCTTTCCCTCCTGTACCTCCCACAGGGGATGCAGCTATAGAGAATGGGTAGGGTCTTTTGGCTTTGCTTCTATAGCCCTATGCACTTCTTTTGGCAGGTTTTATTTTGGGCTGTGCAATTTGACTACAGGTGCAATTTAATCCAGATGCATACAAAGTCAGCCATTCCTTGGTGATCTGGCAGTGTGGCTGTGCAAGGATTTTAGTCTTGGGCCAGAGATTGGAGCACTTGCTCTAGAACAGGGTAGAGGCCTGAACAGCCGGAACTGTGGAACATGTTCCAGTAGGCAATGGAATTGTGTTCTCCCCCATCACAAGCTTGGGGTGGGAGGAGAACTGCTACAGCTGTAGTTTCTCCTGGGTGGTGAGACTTGCAGCCAGGACCCCCTTGGTGACCTGGAACTAGTCTGCGTGTGCCATTTCTGGGTGCCCTAGGCTGTTGCCCTGAGACTTTGGTACAGCAGAACACTCTTCACTCCACCCACAGGCAGAAATCCAGGCATTTGGACACCCACTTGGCTGGACCAGCAGCCTGAGTTGCCCCACCCTTCTTGGACATAGATCATGGTGCGGCAGGGCCATTGCTGATCCATGCCCAGGAAGATCTCTAGGCATTCGGAGCACCTGCTTGCCTGGATCAACAGCCTAAGCTGTCTCACCCTTCATGGACATAGATTGTGGTGCAGCAGGACCCTCTCTGCTCCATGCCCAGGAAGATCTCCAGGCATCTGGAGCACCCACTCTCTGAGATTAGGAGTTTATGCCACTCCCCATCCTTATGCAGAGAATTTGGAGCCAAGGAGGTTTTCCAGCTCTATCCCTAGACACTTCTCTGTGCACTTGGTGGTTGCTGACTGGATTCTCCCTCAGTACTGGTGCATTCCGCTCTTGATATTGGGTTTGGGAAAATGTCTGCAGCTTTTCCCACTGTCTTTCCCTCACAGCAACTCTGAGCCTCTCCCCAAGTTAGCTCCAGGGCTTGGGAGAAACAAAGTGTTCTCCCTTGGCCTCGGTTGCATAGTCCCCAGTGGAAAGGTGAGTTACAGTGGAAAGTTCTCTGCCTTTCTCACACACTGAAGCTTTTCTCACTTTTTTCAGCCAGATGCCATCATGGGGGCTGTTTGCTAGCGTTTTCCTCCCTGGATCTGTGGTGCCCTTCACAATTCCAGTGGATTCCCATTTTCCTTCTCGAATTAAAGCTCACAGAGTTGATTCACACACACGATTTTGCTTTTTGCAAGTGGCTAAGGCACGCTAGAAGCCTCAAGTCCACCATCTTGGGGGAATAACACAACACACTCATTTTTTTATTGATTTCAAATATGAATCTCTTTCAATTTATCCAGATTTTGGTGAGCAGTGAGGCTTTTGGGAAGACAACATATATTTTAATTTGGCAATGGAAATTGCCCCATTTGTCAATGGAAAATTGTTGTTATAATTTCTGTGGTTATTTCTACTAGTTCTCAATTTCCCACCCCCAATTTCTGTGTTATCTTTCTGAGTCTTCTATTATGTAAATATTGTCCCTCCTCAACTGACCCTTGATGATTTTAACTTTCTTTTAAAATAATTTTTCTCTTTTTTTTCCCTTTATATTTGTGCTATTAGTTTGGGCATTTCATGGTGTCTTCCTAAAACAATAGCCACAGAGTGAGCCAGGTTTAACATAAGTCAGATTAGAACATTCTTCGTGCAAATCTTCCTATTTTTCTGAGAACCAAAACCAAAGTCCTTGAATTCACCTATGAAACCCTTCATGATTTGCCTCTGGAACCTCTCTGGCTCCACTTTGCACTACTCTCACCCTCACTCATTCCACTCTAGCTATACAGCCTCTTTGCTCTTTCTCCAGTGCCCCAGCACACCACTGCCTTATGGATAAATTCTGCACAAGGTGTTCCCTCTCCCTGGAACTCTATTTCCCCTATATACCCTCTTGATCCCACTCCCTTGTTTCTCTCAAATCTTTATTTGTATCTTAATTTCACAATGATGCCGACATGATAGTGCCATTTAATTCCAAAATCTGCCTCCTTCCCCAGTATTTCCCATGTCCATTTCCCTGCATGTTTATTTGTTGCCTGCCATACTCTGATTTTCATTTGTTCATTATGTGTGTGTTTATTGCCTGTCCCCTGCAGCTAGTAGGTCAGTTCTGCAAGGATGTGATTCTGTGTCTGTGTTGTTCATTTGTATAACTCACGCCCCTTGTACATGGTACTAGAACAAGGCACATAGTAGGTATTTGATTAATATTTGTTGAATGAATGAATAACTTTTTGTCCTAGGAAATGAAATTATTTGTTTTACTTCTGACTCTTTAGTTAAACGTATTCAGTAATTCTATTTCAAATGTACATAAACTATTTTTCTTGAATCGTTTCTTAATTATAGCTTCCTATTTTGTTACAGTTGCAAAATTATTTCATATTACTCTGAAAATTGTAATTAGAATATTTCAAAGTTCATTTTTCCTTAAATTTTCTTAAGAGAAAAGGTTAATTTAAATGTAAATTTCTAATTTATTTAGTCCTTTTCATTTTAAATTAGATATCAATATGCAATAATCAAGACTTGTCAGTGCTAGATACTTAAATAAAATTTGCTTAAGCAAAGAAAGAATTCTTTCATTCCCCGCTGATGTACTAGGAAAGTCCATGGGTATATATGTCTTCATGTATGTCTGAATCATGTATTTCACTGTCTGTCTTTTGGATAAGCTCTCTTCTCATGGTTGGCAGGTTGGCTACCAATAGCATAAGATTTTCATCTGTCAATGTGCTAACTTCAGGGTTATGTGGGAGTTTTTTTCTGTTAGTTGCAGCAGAATAATTTCAATGCAGATCCTGAATGGCCTAGCTTGAGTCACATGACTAATCTTAAGCCAAACCTTGTGACCAAGTGTTTGGGATTCTCTGCTTTTTCAGGCCTGGGTCTCATGTTCACAAGGTAGAAAGAGGTAAGTGATGAACAACCCCTGCTAAACTACATGGATTAAGTTCTCCAAAAGGAAGAGATATTTTTATTACTTTAAGAAAGGGTAGGCAAAAACTGTGCATCAGACATAATCTTTGTGCATTTTAAGAGTTGAAAACAATTCTTATTTTTGGATCAGATATCTTTAGTTGTAATGCTAGATAAGGATACAGAAGAGCTTATCTTCGGGGATAGCTACTCAAATACAACCAATTAACTATTTTATTAATTACTATTTCAACTAATAAAAGCAATATACAGGATCTTCAAACTCCTATCTGGGAAGTTATTTATTATTCAATAGAATCATCAGGATTCCACTAACTTCATGACTTAATATTTGTGGTCTATCACAAATACTGATTGCTGAATATGAGATTAAATTTATATAATTAGATGTTCAAGGTATTTGTTCTTATTTCTTTTTTTTATTATACTTTAAGTTTTAGGGTACATGTGCACAATGTGCAGGTTAGTTACATATGTATACATGTGCCATGCTGGTGCGCTGCACACACTAACTCATCATCTAGCATTAGGTATATCTCCCAATGCTATCCCTCCCCACTCCCCCCACCCCACAACAGACCCCAGAGTGTGATGTTCCCCTTCCTGTGTCCATGTGTTCTCATTGTTCAATTCCCACCTATGAGTGAGAATATGCATTGTTTGGTTTTTTGTTCTTGCGATAGTTTACTGAGAATGATGATTTCCAGCTTCATCCATGTCCCTACAAAGGACATGAACTCATCATTTTTTATGGCTGCATAGCATTCCATGGTGTATATGTGCCACATTTTCTTAATCCAGTCTATCATTGTTGGACATTTGGGCTGGTTCCAAGTCTTTGCAATTGTGAATAATGTGGCAATAAACATATGTGTGCATGTGTCTTTATAGCAGCATGATTTATAGTCCTTTGGGTATATACCCAGTAATGGGATGGCTGTGTCACATGGTATTTCTAGTTCTAGATCCCTGAGGAATTGCCACACTGACTTCCACAATGGTTGAACTAGTTTACAGTCCCACCAACGGTGTAAAAGTGTTCCTATTTCTCCACATCCTCTCCAGCACCTGTTGTTTCCTGACTGTTTAATGATTGCCATTCTAACTGGTGTGAGATGGTATCTCACTGTGGTTTTGATTTGCATTTCTCTGATGGCCAGTGATGGTGAGCATTTTTTCATGTGTTTTTTGGCTGCATAAATGTCTTCTTTTGAGAAGTGTCTGTTCATGTCCTTCGCCCACTTTTTGATGGGGTTGTTTGTTTTTTTCTTGTAAATTTGTTTGAGTTCATTGTAGATTCCGGATATTAGCCCTTTGTCAGATGAGTAGGTTGCGAAAATTTTCTCCCATTTTGTAGGTCGCCTGTTCACTCTGATGGTAGGTTGCCTGTTCACTCTGATGGCAGTTTCTTTTGCTGTGCAGAAGCTCTTTAGTTTAATTAGATCCCATTTGTCAATTTTGGCTCTTGTTGCCATTGCTTTTGGTGTTTTAGACATGAAGTCCTTGCCCATGCCTATGTCCTGAATGGTAAAGCCCAGGTTTTCTTCCAGGGTTTTTATAGTTTTAGGTCTAATGTTTAAGTCTTTAATCCATCTTGAATTGATTTTTGTATAAGGTGTAAGGAAGGGATCCAGTTTCAGCTTTCTACATATGCCTAGCCAGTTTTCCCAGCACCATTTATTAAATAGGGAATCCTTTCCCCATTGCTTTTCTCAGGTTTGTCAAAGATCAGATAGTTGTAGATATGCAACGTTATTCCTGAGGGCTCTATTCTGTTCCATTGATCTATATCTCTGTTTTGGTACCAGTACCATGCTGTTTTGGTTACTGTAGCCTTGTAGTATAGTTTGAAGTCAGGTAGTGTGATGTCTCCAGCTTTGTTCTTTTGACTTAGCATTGACTTGGCAATGCGGGCTCTTTTTTGGTTCCATATGAACTTTAAAGTAGTTTTTTCCAATTCTGTGAAGAAAGTCATTGGTAGCTTGATGGGGATAGCATTGAATCTATAAATTACCTTGGGCAGTATGGCCATTTTCACCATATTGATTCTTCCTACCCATGAGCATGGAATGTTCCATTTGTTTGTATCCTCTTTTATTTCCTTGAGCAGTGGTTTGTAGTTCTCCTTGAAGAGGTCCTTCACATCCCTTGTAAGTTGGATTCCTAGGTATTTTATTCTCTTTGAAGCATTTGTGAATGGGAGTTCACTCATGATTTGGCTCTCTGTTTGTCTGTTGTTGGTGTATAAGCATTCTTGTGATTTTTGTACATTGATTTTGTATCCTGAGACTTTGCTGAAGTTGCTTATCAGCTTAGGGAGATTTTGGGCTGAGACAATGGGGTTTTCTAGATATAAAATCATGTCATCTGCAAACAGGGACAATTTGACTTCCTCTTTTCCTAATTGAATACCCTTTATTTCTTTCTCCTGCCTAATTGCCCTGGCCAGAACTTCCAACGCTATGTTGAATAGGAGTGGTGAGAGAGGGCATCCCTGTCTTGTGCCAGTTTTCAAAGGGAATGCTTCCAGTTTTTGCCCATTCAGTATGATATTGGCTGTGGGTTTTTCATAGATAGCTCTTATCATTTTGAGATATGTCCCATCAATACCTAATTTATTGAGAGTTTTTAGCATGAAGGGTTGTTGAATTTTGTCAAAGGCCTTTTCTGCATCTATTGAGATAATCATGTGGTTTTTGTCTTTGGTTCTGTTTATATGCTGGATTACATTTATTGATTTGCATATATTGAACCAGCCTTGCATCCCAGGGATGAAGCTCACTTGATCATGGTGGCTAAGCTTTTTGATGTGCTGCTGGATTCGGTTTGCCAGTATTTTATTGAGGATTTTTGCATCAATGTTCATCAAGGATATTGGTCTAAAATTCTCTTTTTTGGTTGTGTCTCTGCCCGGCTTTGGTATCAGGATGATGCTGGCCTCATAAAATGAGTTAGGGAGGATTCCCTCTTTTTCTATTGATTGGAATAGTTTCAGAAGGAATGGTACCAGTTCCTCCTTGTACCTCTGGTAGAATTCGGTTGTGAATCCATCTGGTCCTGGACTCTTTTTGGTTGGTAAGATATTGATTATTGCCACAATTTCAGAGCCTGTTATTGGTCTATTCAGAGATTCAACTTCTTCCTGGTTTAGTCTTCGGAGAGTGTATGTGTCGAGGAATTTATCCATTTCTTCTAGATTTTCTAGTTTATTTGCATAGAGGTGTTTGTAGTATTCTCTGATGGTAGTTTGTATTTCTGTGGGATCGGTGGTGATATCCCCTTTATCATTTTTTATTGCGTCTATTTGATTCTTCTCTCTTTTTTTCTTTATTAGTCTTGCTAGCGGTTTATCAATTTTCTTGATCCTTTCCAAAAAACCAGCTCCTGGATTCATTAATTTTTTGAAAGTTTTTTTGTGTCTCTATTTCCTTCAGTTCTGCTCTGATTTTAGTTATTTCTTGCCTTCTGCTAGCTTTTGAATGTGTTTACTCTTGCTTTTCTAGTTCTTTTAATTGTGATGTTAGGGTGTCAATTTTGGATCTTTCCTGCTTTCTCTTGTGGGCATTTAGTGCTATAAATTTCCCTCTACACACTGCTTTGAATGCGTCCCAGAGATTCTGGTATGTTGTGTCTTTGTTCTCGTTGGTTTCAAAGAACATCTTTATTTCTGCCTTCATTTCGTTATGTACCCAGTAGTCATTCAGGAGCAGGTTGTTCAGTTTCCATGTAGTTGAGCGGTTTTGAGTGAGATTCTTAATCCTGAGTTCTAGTTTGATTGCACTGTGGTCTGAGAGATAGTTTGTTATAATTTCTGTTCTTTTACATTTGCTGAGGAGAGCTTTACTTCCAACTATGTGGTCAATTTTGGAATAGGTGTGGTGTGGTGCTGAAAAAAATGTATATTCTGTTGATTTGGGGTGGAGAGTTCTGTAGATGTCTATTAGGTCTGCTTGGTGCAGAGCTGAGTTCAATTCCTGGGTATCCTTGTTGACTTTCTGTCTCGTTGATCTGTCTAATGTTGACAGTGGGGTGTTAAAGTCTCCCATTATTAATGTGTGGGAGTCTAAGTCTCTTTGTAGGTCACTCAGGACTTGCTTTATGAATCTGGGTGCTCCTGTATTGGGTGCATATATATTTAGGATAGTTAGCTCTTCTTGTTTAATTGATCCCTTTACCATTATGTAATGGCCTTCTTTGTCTCTTTTGATCTTTGTTGGTTTTAAGTCTGTTTTATCAGAGACTAGGATTGCAACCCCTGCCTTTTTTTGTTTTCCATTTGCTTGGTAGATCTTCCTCCATCCTTTTATTTTCAGCCTATGTGTGTCTCTGCACATGAGATGGGTTTCCTGAATACAGCACACTGATGGGTCTTGACTCTTTATCCATTTTGCCAGTCTGTGTCTTTTAATTGGGGCATTTAGTCCATTTACATTTAAAGTTAATATTGTTATGTTGAATTTGATCCTGTCATTATGATGTTAGCTCGTTATTTTGCTCGTTAGTTGATGCAGTTTCTTCCTAGTCTCGATGGTCTTTACATTTTGGCATGATTTTGCAGCAGCTGGTACCAGTTGTTCCTTTCCATGTTTAGCGCTTCCTTCAGGAGCTCTTTTAGGGCAGGCCTGGTGGTGACAAAATGTCTCAGCATTTGCTTGTCTGTAAAGTATTTTATTTCTCCTTTGCTTATGAAGCTTAGTTTGGCTGGATATGAAATTCTAGGGTGAAAATTCTTTTCTTTAAGAATGTTGAATATTGGCCCCCACTCTCTTCTGGCTTGTAGAGTTTCTGCCAAGAGATCCGCTGTTAGTCTGATGGGCTTCCCTTTGAGGGTAACCCGACCTTTCTCTCTGGCTGCCCTTAACATTTTTTCCTTCATTTCAACTTTGGTGAATCTGACAATTATGTGTCTTGGAGTTGCTCTCCTTGAGGAGTATCTTTGTGGCATTCTCTGTATTTCCTGAATCTGAATGTTAGCCTGCCTTGCTAGATTGGGGAAGTTCTCCTGGATAATATCCTGCAGAGTGTTTTCCAACTTGGTTCCATTCTCCCTGTCACTCTCAGTTACACCAATCAGACGTAGATTTGGTCTTTTCACATAGTCCCATATTTCTTGGAGGCTTTGCTCGTTTCTTTTTATTCTTTTTTCTCTAAACTTCCCTTCTCGCTTCATTTCATTCATTTCATCTTCCATTGCTGATACCCTTTCTTCCAATTAATCGCATCGGCTCCTGAGGCTTCTGCATTCTTCATGTAGTTCTCGAGCCTTGGTTTTCAGCTCCATCAGCTCCCTTAAGCACTTCTCTGTATTGGTTATTCTAGTTATACATTCTTCTAAACTTTTTTCAAAGTTTTCAACTTCTTTGCCTTTGGTTTGAATGTCCTCCCGTAGCTCAGAGTAATTTGATCATCTGAAGCCTTCTTCTCTCAGCTCGTCAAAGTCATTCTCCGTCCAGCTTTGTTCTGTTGCTGGTGAGGAACTGCGTTCCTTTGGAGGAGGAGAGGCGCTCTGCGTTTTAGAGTTTCCAGTTTTTCTGCTCTGTGTTTTCCCCATCTTTGTGGTTTTATCTACTTTTGGTCTTTGATGATGGTGATGTACAGATGGGTTTTTGGTGTGGATGTCTTTTCTGTTTGTTAGTTTTCCTTCTAACAGACAGGACCCTCAGCTGCAGGTCTGTTGGAGTACCAGGCCGGCCGTGTGATGTGTCAGTGTGCCCCTGCTGGGGGGTGCCTCCCAGTTAGGCTGCTCGGGGGTCAGGGGTCAGGGACCCACTTGAGGAGGCAGTCTGCCCATTCTCAGATCTCCAGCTGCGTGCTGGGAGAACCACTGCTG
The DNA here is from genome assembly GCF_000001405.40 of Homo sapiens. NCBI lineage: Eukaryota > Metazoa > Chordata > Mammalia > Primates > Hominidae > Homo > Homo sapiens. Next base: position 8,114,288 of record NC_000020.11, read on the forward strand.
TCTTCAAAGCTGCCAGACAGGGACATTTAAGTCTGCAGAGGTTACTGCTGTCTTTTTGTTTGTCTGTGCCCTGCCCCCAGAGGTGGAGCCTACAGAGGCAGTCAGGCCTCCTTGAGCTGTGGTGGGCTCTGCCCAGTTCGAGCTTCCGGGCTGCTTTGTTTACCTAATCAAGCCTGGGCAATGGCGGGCGCCCCTCCCCCAGCCTCGCTGCCGCCTTGCAGTTTGATCTCAGACTGCTGTGCTAGCAACCAGCGAGACTCCGTGGGCGTAGGACCCTCCGAGCCAGGTAAGGGATGTAATCTCCTGGTGCGCCGTTTTTTAAGCCCGTTGGAAAAGCGCAGTATTCGGGTGGGAGTGACCCGATTTTCCAGGTGCCGTCTGTCACCCCTTTCTCTGACTCAGAAAGGGAACTCCCTGACCCCTTGCGCTTCCCGAGTGAGGCAATGCCTCACCCTGCTTCGGCTCGTGCACGGTGCGCGCACCCACTGACCTGCGCCCACTGTCTGGTGCTCCCTAGTGAGATGAACCCGGTACCTCAGATGGAAATGCAGAAATCACCCGTCTTCTGCGCCGCTCACGCTGGGAGCTGTAGACCGGAGCTGTTCCTATTCGGCCATCTTGGCTCCTCTCTTCATTCTTATTTCTATAAACCCATGCTAAACAAAATTTTTCCTCGAGGACAATAATGTCTAAGTTGCTGATAACTGTCAGAAACAAACACTATAACTAATTCATTTTAAATCAGTAAAGAGTAAAGCAAGTAACATAATAACATAACATGATAGTAATACTTCTAGTAGTAATAACTTTACTGTTAAATATTCTTAAATATTTCAAAATATTTTCACTTGTATCATCTAATCACTGCGTATCTCATTTCATGAAAATTGACAGGAAAACTGAAGGTCACTGTGAGTAAATATAACATTTATACATACCACCACATAGCTTTTATCATATTGTACAAGATATCTTTGTTTTTATCTCTATCTCACCTGTTAAGATTAGGAGCTAGATGAAGATGAATATCTTGTATTACATTTTTTTTTATTTGCAGGTCCTAGCCAGTGCCTGGCATAGATCAGATGATTTTTCCCAAAAAAAGTTTTCAAAATAGAATTTAGTTGTCTGTGGTCTCAAAGCTAAGTCACATATGGCAGGGATGAAAACCAAGTTCTTGTGCTTTTCAATACAGTATGTAGATTGCTCTTTGAAATGCAATCAACACATCACATCTGCTTTTAAATAAGTGAACACAAAAGCCTGGAGTGGGTCTAGTGAGATGCCATCCAACAGAGTGTGCATCAGGGGTCTTGGCAGGAAGCAGATGACACATTCAAGCTGGGTGATTGATGAAGGTTGATAAAAGAACTATTACAAAGTTTAGAGTGAAAAAACAAGGGATGCAGGACCCTGCCTGAGCCACATAATAACATCAGGGAGCTACTACCACTCCTAAACCTGAAGAAGTGAAAAGAAGTGGCTCCCAGAACCTGTGGAGAGAGCTGTGAGGGCAACTTGACTGGAGCTTGACAGTAGATAGGACCAGCAGATTTACTGAGATCCAGCCGGCAGGGAGCCAAAGGAATAAATACTCTGACATCACACTCCTTCCTTCCTCCCATCTCATCCTGATGTACCCTTTGGCTGAAGCCACCAGAAGAAAGAGAGCAAGGTACCCCTGGTACCTTGAGATATTCATTCAGCTTAGCATCCCAAAGGCTAGGGCAGACAGCAGGGTAGAGAAGGACGGGGTCAACAGAAGACCTTCAACGTGGAGAGTTTGCTACCTCAAGCCTTAGTGATAGAAGTCAAAATTCACTTGACTACTTGGCCTATGCTTGATTGGAGACTGAGGAAGCTGATGTCCTTGGAAGGACCTGGTGTGCTAACTGGGCTGCTGCCAATCTTTGGAAGAGTAACTTGTTCTCGTTAAGAAGCATAACCAGATGGGGTCCAAGGTTTAACTTCCCACTTTCATGGTGTGCAACTGTCAGTTGTGGCTACAATCCTGTATCGCAGAGGGTTGCAGGCTGTAATTTTGTGTCCAAGACCTTCCAGAGAACAACTAGCATATGCTGTGCACAATAAGTACAGGCTCGATCTAGCCACACTGCTAGCATCAAAGCGTATTCTTCATTAATTGAATGTGACAGTGCACTTACCCCTCCTTTTTGAGAGAACAAAATACTGATTCAAAGATTGTTCTGACTATGAACTCCAACAACACACACAGTAGAAGCCAATGAATCAGTTTGGTCTATTTGTTCATGAATAGATTCTTCTGTGTAGTGTATCACAGTGAGTTCTAACTTGCAAAGTCTTAACACTGCTCACTCGAGTTAAGCCAGCAGTAGACTTCCCTTTAACTTATTTGGCATGGCTTTTCCTCTTGGGCCATGATGATCTCAGCTACATTAGTGTGCAACTTGTACACAGAGAATGTTAAGGAAATGACCTGAATAAATCTCTTTCAAGTAAAGGGCCAGACTCAGGCTTCTGGTATTTGTGTCTAAAAACTGGGATGAACCATATCTGGTTCCATCATTGTATGATCCTGGTGACCTCATTAGCCCCTCTAAACTTTGGTATTTCCTTCTATGGAGAGAGACATTTAACTTCCCTTCCTACATCCTCAGGGTTTGGAAATCTCACAAGTGCCACCAAATTATGAGATAGTATAACCATATAGCATACAGTTATCAAATATAAATATTAATACTAAGTATCTGAAAACATGTACATTTGTCTTTTGTTTTCTGCTGAATAGTGCCTGGGACTCACAAGGTATGTCTTTACACTAGACTAAAGGAAAGGTCTTTAATTTTATGAAAAGTTGCATGAAAATGGAAAAGTCACTTACTTCTTTTAAGATTCAAATTTCCTATGTAAGAAATAGGTATGATGAGAATATTTACCTCCAGAATTTTCTCAGAAACTAAAAGAAAAGAATAAGTACTTAAAAAAATCAAGTCATAAAAATGAAAGTTGCTCCTGAAGTTACTGTAGGTGATACGTCAATTTATTTTCATGTTACTTAAATAGTGTTTGTTACCCCTGACTAATATTAGAGTCAGGATCCCAGTCTATAAAAATGGAAGGTTTCAGAATTTCAACAAAGAACATATGAAAGTCATGACCTGAATAACTTTGGTAAAGTAGAAGCAAACTCTGGATTTGCAAAGAGAAAGAACACCAAAGAACTAATGGAAAACAAACAAAAAAGTCTTTTAAGGCTTAGTGAGATTTTGGTTTAATAATTAGTGATATCCATATGCATATCTTTTATCTATTGCTATGACAATGCTGTGTTATAACCACCCCAAAACTCAGTGGTTTAAGACAACAGACATTTATTACCGCTAATGAGTACATGGGTCAGATGGACCAGTCTTTTGGTATTGGCTGAGCACACTCACACATCTGCAGTCAGATGTGGGGTGGAAAGGCAGCTCCCTTGAACTTGGCTGGGCTCTCTCACATATTTGGGAGTGGGCTGGCCTTAAGCAGGTCTAGATTAGGATCAGCTGAAATGACTAAGCTTTTCTTCTTTGGTTTCTCACATCCCTCCAGCAGGCTCGCTAGGGCTTATATCCTTATGGTCCCTGGGCATGGTTGAGGCATAGTCTCAGAATTGACCTATTTCACTTTGGCACCATCCTTCTGAACAAATCAGTTACAAGACCAGCCCAGATTAAAGAAGCAGCCAAAAAGACTCGACTGCTGAATGGGAGTAGGTGCAAAATTACATTGCAAAAGGTGTAGATACAGGGAAAGGAGGAGAATTAGGGCCACTTTTGCATTCAGTCTACCATACTATTCTACTTGAATTTCCTTATGAGCAGAAGTCAAAGGCTTATAAACATCTGGAAGGCTTCAGAAATCTGGACACTGCTGCAGCAGCATGCCACCATAACCGGCAGGCTGTGTAGAGCAAGCCAAATTTGTACTTAGAGGGATCTATAAGACTTGCCAACTATTTTTATGAATGTACAAGTTTGGCTGACATACATTTTCTAATATCTGAAACATCCCATTTGTGCCACTTGAGCAAACAAATCAGACACAATAACTGGTGGTGTGATCCCCTTCTCAGCCATCCTTATCACAGGAGAATTAAGTTGCTATTTATTTTACATATTTGATTTAATTTACAGAATACATTTATGTCTTTTTTAATTTTTGTCTTACTTGCTTATATTTTTAAAGGAAGGAAAGTTATCTTTACCTACTCATATTTGGAAACATGGTCCCTAATACAAAGGGTAGTTGTATAGCACATTTACTCGTATTTGTAAACACCAAAATAGTATGTGGGGGGGGAGGAGTACTTACAATTCTTCGCTTCTGCAGCTGTAGACAATTTCTTCATTTAAACATGGAGTTCTAAAGAGGAATTTAGATCAATTACAATAATATTTTCTTGTCTGGCCTTGTTAATAACAAAATTTTTGCTTGCATAAATTGCATGCAGAGAAAATAGGATTAAAGAATATTATGGTGAAAATGAAATGAATAATGACAATGGAATCACTTAAATCACTGCAGAAAAATGTAAAATTATATAATTAAGAAAGCTATAACCCCACTGATTCTTTCAGATATTTCAGAATACAGCCAAGGCAGCTTCTCAGCCACGGTCACTCCCAAGATAAGATTTGAAGTTATGAAATGTAGCAGTCATGCATTTAGAGGAGTTGAACATTTTCTAACCAGTCATGAAGTGAGAAAATAATCTTACATGTTATGCTTCAATTTGCAATGTTTTTACTAGTTCTAGTCATGATTTAAAGCATCAGAATATTGTATGCATTATGTATGTAGCAAGAGTTACATGGGCAAACTACTGCTACTTCAGCAGTTCATTTTCCAGAGTTTGAATTAAAATCCTTGTTTCTCTCAATTTTTCTTTCTGTTTGCCTGCTGAATTGCTTTTGAGTCCAAAGGCCCGTGCCAATCTACATGCTCTGTGTAGAGATTAAAATCTTGTACAAGCCTTGGATTTAAGAGTTCTGTTTTGGCTTTTATCTCTCCAATGTTACTAATTGTCTATTTTAACCTCCTATTCACTGAATTCATGTATTTATTTAAGTAGAATATTTATAGCATTTTAAAATAATAACAATAATGTTTAAATCTTATGTTGGAGAAAGCTAAAATTTGGGGTTAAATCCTGGCTCCTACCTTACTAATTATATGACATTGATAAGGGTTTACCTCCCAAAACCTTATTTTCCTCACCTTTAAATTGGAGATAATAATGTTGCTTACCTTAAAAGATTGTTGTAAATAATACAATCAGGTAGCATTCGTAAAGTAAACATGTAGTAAAAATTCTATAAATAATGATAGCCAGAAGTCACACTTTAAAACACACCAGTATCTTAATCCATGGAAGAATCTTTGCTAGGGAATATGACCGACATAAGAGAAAAAAAACTAAAAATATGGATATGGAAGTTACTCATCCAAAAGCCCAGTCTGATTATCCTACAGTATAAGCCACATGTAATGAGCCCTGTCTATGCACCTTAAGCTTTCAATCAGCATTTTTCTGTTGTTTCACTTTTTGAAAAATAAACCGGCAGCCAAAAAATCATCAGATATTTATGGGAAGTGTCTAATTGACACTTGACATCGTGATGACATGATGAAAATCAGAGGCAAAGCAAGCAGCAGGGAGCAACCAGGTGGAGCAAAGACCAGGTGAGACAAAGACCAGCCTTCAGAAGACTTTAAAAATATACAAAGTAGATCAACATTATGGAGACAACTCGAAATGAGACTAGGGTGCTATAAAAATGATCATTCAGAGAACAAAAACAGTTCTTCAAAATTAAATACATGATAGCAGAGAGGAAAACTGAAGCAGAAGAGTTGAAAGATAAAGTTAGAAGATGCCGTAGAGGGTATAGCAAAAAGATAAAAACATGGAAGACAGGAAAGAATATATAATAAAATTAGAGGACCAATCTAGGAGGTCTGATATCCAAAACATGAGAAAGAAAATGAAGGAGAAGAAGTAAGCAATGAAATAATTCTAGAACATTTCCCAGAATTGTAAGTCATGATTTTCTAAATTAAAAGAGCCTAATTAATGTTCAGCATAGTGAATGAAAATAACCCAAACCACAGTCCAAAACTCACATAAAATCAGAACTCTGGGGACAAAGAGGAATAGCAATAAATTTCCAGGTATAAAATCCCACAAAAACCAAACAAGTTTTCATATGGAGGATCAAGGAATACAACTAGACTTTTCAAAAGCAATATTGCTAAAAGACAATGGGAGAAAGAAAGCCTTCCAAATTTTGAGAGAATATGATTTCTAAACTAGAATGTTTCTGTTTGGCCAGTGTATCAATTAATCATGAAGGGCAGAATAAAGGCATTTTGGTACCCGTCAGCTTTCAAATATTTTACTTCCCTTGCACAATTTCTCAGGAAGCCATATAAAGATAAAACCCATGAAATCTTGTTGGGTTGAGCAAAAATGAAGGCAAGAATTAGGAGTTCCAATAGAGCCACGAGACGAAGGGAATTCTCAGCCTGATGATGAAGGGGACCTCCAGAAGATAGTGGTGCAGAGACCCAGAGGACAAAGGGAATCCACACTGGAGCAGGGCAGAAGTCTCCAGAAAAGACCTCGTCCAGAAGGAGAGATTGAAAGAATATTCAACCTGTTTGCATTTATCACAAGGAGGCTAACTCTGCCTTGAATTAGTGGTAAGGACAAAAGGAGATGATCAAATGATAAAACAAAGCGTGCAGAACAAAATATACAGGAAACGAAAGGTAATTATGGCAACTGCATAATTCAGACTCACCTGTAAATATATATATATATTTATAAATAAGTATATATAATATATATATAATATATATACCCTTATATAATACTAAGGAACTATATATAGTATTATAATTATATATCATATCTAATAATTACAATGTGAACATGAAATATTGAGCTAGCCAAAATGAAGATAAATCCATCTTTATGATGGTATTATAAGGGCAGGAGAAAGAGGGAGAGGATGGTGAAAAAAGACATTTGTCGTCTTCTATACCGAGAAGGCAACAGATAATGAACAGAGTGCATCAGTAATCAGCAGTATATTATTTTGCAATATATAGCTAAATGCCAAAGAATCAGCTAGAATAATTAAAAGTATTTGCACCTAAAGAGAGGGAAGTTGTGTAGGTGTAGGATAAAAAGCTGCTTCTATTTATAAGTATCTTTGTAGATTTATTTGATTCTTAAAAGTTGTTGGTATAATTTGATGGAAATAAAACCTAAACGTTGGAAACAATGAATCTATGACATTACTCTTATTAGTTCAGTGTTTTAAAAAATAAAGACAAATATTTTTCCAAATAAGCAATTTGTTGGCATTTTTAAACATGAACATATTGACATATAGACACACACATGTGTGTTTGCGTACAAATTTACATCATCATCATACAAAGCAACTATTTTCTAAATGTAAAACATATTTTTTTCTGTGAGTACTGCAGTGCTTGTCTAACCTTTATCTGTAGATTTTATTGTACATTCTTGAGAACCCAAACCTGTTAAACAACTTTACAGCTAAGTCTTGGCAGCAGGAAAGCAGTGACCAACATTATCCTCTGCATCCTTCCCCTGGATCTATTTTATTACTAAACATATATACATATATATATGTATATATTTGGAAGCATGCATATGTATGCTTCCAAAACTAGACCAAAATAATAACTGGTCTCATTAAAATATATAAAAGCCTTCAACTAAATGAAAGATCAAAAATTAAATATGTGTAAATGAGACAAATAATTACGTAAACAGTCTCATGTTTAAAATTCAAATATCAAGTGTTATCAACTTACAATCCTGTAGTGCCATTTTTCTAAGTAGCACTGGTCATTGTACTGTGAGGCCAAAAAGTCAATTCTCTCAACATTCAGGCATAAAAAAGGGAAGGCATTAAGATAAATTAACTCTCTGAGTATAGAAATTAGGCAGTGTGTTAGCTTTGTCATGTTGTTCAATCTTAATTTCCACCACAGCACCTCAAACGATATTCTAACATGAATAACTAAGTGATTAGTATGTTTCCCATGCAATGTGGTATCAACGTAGATATTTTTGCCTGACCTCAATAGCCCATCAAAGCTCAGCATGTTACTCCAGTAAACAGAGTTGGTCTCAGCTATTCTGTAAAGCATAAACATCTTTGGAAACGAGGCTTGATATACATGCCTAGAAGGCACTGTGATTATTTTATGTATAATAAAATAGTCAAATTTTCTGCAATGCCAAGATATTCTTTGATAAGAAATTAGTTCCTAAGGAAGCTGGAACCAGGATGCCGGGACACTAGAGAATCACCTACCTGACTGTGGCGCTAATAGATCCCACATAACTCCAATGTGCACAAAACCCCCTGGGCTTCTGGTACCTAAGGTACCCTCTGATACAGTAGGATTGGAGTGGGGTCCAAGATTCTGTATTTCTAAGAAGCTCCAAGCAATGTTGATGCTGCTGGTCTATGGACCACACGCTGAGTAACCAGGCACTAAATGATACCATAAGCTGCTGATTTACTACATTGCCAAATTTCATATGTTGGCACAGAAGGCAGAAATCTAATAATAGATTCCATTAGATTTTCTATCACGTAGTAGGAACTCAGCATATTTTGGGTAACTATACTACCCTTGGAAATGTATAGGGAAATCCTAGAGAACAGGTCTTAGCTATATGTAATGAGAGCTAGGCTGTTATCTGTATATGCTTGGTGCAGTTTTGCATTTACAAATAATGCTAATGAGAAGTGCTATTCACAGAATTTCTCAAGTATTTTCAGAGATTAATTTGCATAGTTATAAATTAGATGTCCCAAATATTATTTTATGGGTAACGTGTATTTTGCAAGATGATTTCCTTAGAGAGAGAGAGAGAGAGAGAGAGAGAGAGTGTGTGTGTGTGTGTGTGTGTGTGTGAATTAGCTGTTGCCAGGCTATTTTTGTTGCTACATGGTTGTTATGGGCCAAAATCTTATATTCACTTATCTTTAACTAGTTTAGTCTGTTGCCTATCTTCATATATAAAACATATTCTGCTTCAGATCTGTTGTAGTATGTGGGTTTACTTGTTTATAGTATAGTAGTGGAATTTACTAAAGCTGCATATTATATATCACAGAGAAATAAATAAATGAGACTTTTATAAAACAGTAAATGCTCAATTATTTTAGGGTAGACTGTGAAAGTTTCAAGAAATCTTGAGATTACTTCTTCTTGTAAGGGTTGGCAAACTATAACCCATGGGCCAAATCCAGCCTGCTACCTGTTTTTGTAAATAAACTTTTATTGGAATACAGACACACTCTTTCATTTACACATTGTCTATGGCTGTTTTTCATCTACAATGGGAGAGTTGGGAGAGTTGGGTAGTAATGACGGAGATCATACGGCCCACAAAGCCTAAAATATTTCCTCTCTGACTTTTGCTGAAAATGTTTGTCCATCCTGCCATACAACTAAAGATTATATTCTAATACCTTAATTTGAAAAGGTAACAGGAGATAGCTTTATAACCTTCACTTGGTAAGATTAGAATTAGACTGTAGGATGATTACAAATCCTATCTTTTCTCTCTCTTTGGAAGATGCAGTGGCAATATATCTCAAATCACAGAATAGAATCTGTTAGGGAAGGGGGAGATTCTCTTCATTGCCTTTATTTGCAACTTAATTTTTCTTTACCACTCCAAAAAAAGGGGACTATTTGCTTTTTTTTTTTTTTTTTTTTTTTTTTTGAGATGGAGTCTCCCTTTGTGGCCCAGGCTGGAGTGCAGTGGGGCTATCTAGCTCACTGCAAGCTCCGCCTCCCAGGTTCATGCCATTGTCCTGCCTCAGCCTCCCAAGTAGCTGGGACCACAGGCACCCACCACCACACCCGGTTAATTTTTTGTATTTTTAGTAGAGACGGGGTTTCACCGTGTTAGCCAGGATGGTCTCGATCTCCTGATCTTGTGATCTGCCCGCCTTGGCCTCCCAAAGTGCTGGGATTACAGGCGTGAGCCACTGCGCTCTGCTGTGGGGACTATTTGTTTTTCAAGTGTTTTCAGTTATTTTTGTCTATAGTCAAGAAAAAAAGCGGGTGTTTTATGCATCTTCATCTTGATGATTTGAATTTTTTACTACAATTTTAATTTAATCATTTTCCAAGTTATTTATCTTTTCTCTATTTGTAACATAACCAATGCCATCTATTGCTTGACTTAGCTGTTCTTTCCTGTTCTTTGTACATGTTTGCATATGTGCATTTGATATTTAATAGGTACCAATGGGCATAAGATATAGTAAGGGAATGTATATACATTTAAAACTTATCTGGATTTACCCAACATACATAGATACAATTTGAATTTAATTCAGTTGATTCAAAACTTTAGTGTCTTAAACCACTAACCTAGAACCTCTTTTTGTGAATGCAAAAAAATCCCAGCTCAACATTATTCCTTATCTGTATGATTCAGTTTGGCATTACAAAACTAGGTCAACAATGATGTAGGATTATTTACTTATTTCAGTTTTCACAGTCTGAGAGAACCTGGAATAAATTTGAGTCATGCTATTTAGTTAAATGAAGAATGAAATTGTCCAAAGCCTTGTTCATCAATTCCCTAGCATATTATAATATCAACATTAACAAAAAAGATGTGTATTCAAGTGAGAAAAACCTAAACTTCATAATAGAGTATCTGTAAATCACCATAGATTGACATTCATGGTGACACCTACTTTAATTATGTAGCTGCTACAATAGCATTGGGACTAATTTTTAAATAAAATGCATCACTATGTAAGTTCCTTCGTTACCTACTTTTGCAAATACTTTGAGTACAATTATTCTCCATAAAAACCAATATTTCTATACTGGTCCTGGGGAGGCCAAGTGGGGCAAAATTATTTCAAATTTTGGAGGAATGAATGAGAAGCAGCAATTTATTCAGGAACAGAACCTTGGGGGAAATACTTGAAAAAAACAAAAGACATTTTTCCCAACCTGCTGGTGCAGAGCTTAGAAAGGCAATTGAAGAACTGATGTAGAACAAAGCAATAGTGCCAGTGTTCGGTATTTGCCGCTATGTCAGTGAGAGTTGATTGTGGTTGCATAGGATGGAAATCGCTAAATTATAGGGGTTTAAACAAGCTAGGAACTTTTTTTCTGTCATTTAAAATCTAGATGATCCAGGATGGTGTGGTGGTTTGGAGACCCAAGGATTTCTTTCTTCTCTACTAGTCTAGCTCCTGGCTTTCACGCTCAAGGTCACCTCCTAGCTGGAACTTCAGCCCTTGAGTGGCCATTCCAGGCCACAGGAAGGAGGAAGGGGGAAGGTGAACAAAACACATTGTGACTTCAAATTGGGAGTCCTGCTACTGATGGACACTAGGAAAATAGATATTGGATGGCAACTAGAAATCTCTAACACAGCTCCTTTGAAAAGTGACTTTACCCCCTCCTTTGTATGCTATAAAGAATAATAGGAATAGTTATAACCAATAAAAAAGTCAAAGAGTTTGCTTTTAGTTTCCTAAGATGGTGCCACTACAGTGAAATGAGGGAATACTAGAAAGAGAAATCTTGATGAAGCAAAATCATGTTGTTCTTTGTTAAAATTTCTACAAAAATGTGAAAAGGTGATTATTCATATTTTATAGTTGTCACTGTATCGGTAATGGTGGTTGAAGTCTTTGTATACAAAAGGGAGGCACTGAAGTGTGGAATTTAACTCCAGCAAAATTTGGAAGAGGATTTTTACCCCAAACAAATTGAAAGGCAAAAAGATGTTTTTTAAAATGCAAATCTGTTTACAGTGCCCTGAGGTGAAAATAAAATGAAACTTCCTTTAAATCCTGTTGCTTACAACAATAGATATCATTAGAGACCTAAAGCTCAGTGATTTTATCTGAAGTGAGAGAGAATTGGGGGTATGCTGGTGTTTATTTTTATAGAACAGGGAAGATACATATCTGGAAGATAAACTGACTCATGAAGATTATATATTTACACTGGTGTGTCTCAGTCACTATATCTGAGGGCCCAGAGATGACGGAGAAGGAAATAGGGTGAGGTGGGTGCTTCTTGCCATCCTGAGGCATCATTTCCGCAGTCTTCTCTGCAAACACCTGCATTTTCCATGAAATCTGGATTGTGCTGAGAGTGTCTCTCCTTAAACATTTTTTGGATCTGAGCTTCCAAATTCTTTTTCTGAAATTGCGTTTAAGGCGATCAGCCAGATTTCAATGAAAGCCTTTGCTTTATATGAAGCATAAAGTAGAGCTTAAATGAACAGAAGGTCATTTGTCTTGTTTTTCAAAAAGAAAAAAAAAACCTCACCATTTTTGTAGCATAACTAAAGCAATCTGAAGGCTTTTTTCTTTTGTGTGATAGAATTTAGAGAAACGTACTGTGCTATCAAGAAAGGGTTCAAATAAGAGCTTCTAAGGAAGATGTTCTTCTCAATGTGTGGGTGATAATTTTAAGTTGTCTTCCTTTGAGACTCTGCCTCTGTCAGTGTTTTACTTGATAACAGAACTCACTGAGTCAGAAGCTGGCAATTTCATCATGATGCATTTTCTTATTTACCATTCAAGAGGTGTAAGCCTTATCTCTTATATTAATGTGAAAAGTAATGAAAATAATGATGCCAAAGGCATTTAATTCTTGGCTCTAATACTTTATAAGTGTGCCTCTTGTTCACATAATTTACTGGGCAGGGGAACAAGTCATCAGGGTGACCTTTTTCCATGGAGTTAATCAGGGACTCAAACTAACAGAAGCTCTGCCTTCTTCAGTGCGTGGCTTCCAAGGTCACCACCAGGATCACTTTCATTCTGGCCAGCCAGGCAGGGAAGAGCATGGATCAGCACATATGGGAGGGTTTGACCTGCCAAAGGCTACTGACTGTAACCCAGATGTGGTTATTATAAAGCTGGTTCTGGGTAGTTTTTCTCCATATCTCTCTTATATCAAAAAAGGTGAGTTAAAGGAGCCCTGATTCTTAGATGCAATTAGAACTCATTTATTCATGATGGAAAAGAGCTTTTCAGTTCTAGAAGGTTAGAGACAAAAATGAATATGATTAAAGTTTATAGAATCAATGCAGCCAAAAAGAAGTTTACTAAATCACAGACCACAGAATTAGAATGCTGTCTTTTAAGACTAAAAGAGTTATTTAGGGCATAGAAAGGGAATATAGTAGAATTTCAGAATAACCATATGTGTGTTAACTACTATTGATTACCGCTGTGACAGGGACTTAGATATATGATTTCATTTAATCTTTGCAATACCTCTTTAAGACAGCTTACTGTGGTGGTTAAATATGTAGGCTCTGGGGTCAAACTGCCTAGTTTAAATTCTGGTTCACTCACTTACTAGCTGGAAAATGTTGAACAACTACTTAACACTTCTCTGACTCAGATTACCCAGCTATAAAGTGGAGATAATAGTAACCCGGCTCCTAGGGGTTAATATGACAGTGAATGCATTAAAAATGTAAAACCCTGAGAAGAGTATGTGACATAAAAAGCTTTGACATTATTATTATTTCTCCATTTACATATTAGGACCTTGTATTTCAGAAGAGATAAGAGACTTTCCCACGGTTACGTACGTAGTAATTGGTAGAACTGGCTGTTAAAAGATATGTCTATTCAAATCAAAACACTGTCCTTCCCACTGTGGCAGGCCTCAAGTGAGTTATGAGCTGACAAGAGACTGGAGTACATACCACAATCTAGTTTCTAGGGAAATTAGGACTATTTATATTACACTGTGGTTAAAAGGAGAGAGAAACTACTCATATCTGCCTTATAAGTTGTAGAAGTATCTACCATGGTAGTTAAGAGTCTAGGTTCTAAAGTCAGACTTCCTAGGTCTCCATCTCAATTCCGAATTTTGTAACTGGAGGAGGTTAATCCATCCTCCAAACTTTAGTATATAAATCAGTAAAATAGCATACAATAATATTATCTACCAGATCAGCTGAGAGTAACAATAAAGCTTAAATAATAAAGAGATTTATTATCTCACTCATTAAAAAGTCTAAAGAAAATTTAAAGGGTTTAAAAAGCTCATGAAGGACCAGGTTTCTTTGCATCTTTCTTGTCAGTGTCCTCTTTACATAACAATATGAGACAGAGAAAGAGAATTTCCCTGAAGACATTAGTCAGAACTGAGCCCCTCATATAGCTCTTAAACCAGTTACAGACAAAGGGGAATGGAATTATTGACATTAGTTTAGGCCAATCATAGTTTGTTCCTTGGAAAGAGAGAGGGGCCATGTTTCCTAAGCATGACGACCACCCAAATTAAGTCAGGGTTTGCTTACAAGAAAAAGAGGGTGGAGAGTGGTGTTGAATAGGAAGGGTTATGTTTTTTAGTGTCTGGGAAGTGCTTAGCTTAGTGCTCTGACCCACAGTGAGTGCTCAATAAAGGTTAGCTTTGCCAGCTCCCTGAGGCTGACATTCCCAGAGGGCAATTCTGTGCTCTCACAAAAAACAGACCTTCCTATTGTTTCAAAAAACAGTACACAGCACCGAACTTGACGGATCACAGGCCTGGCTCACACAATTTTGGATTTCTTACAGATCCCTTTGCATAGCAAAAATCTCCACACTTGGACACAGGAAGGGGAACATCACACACCGGGAACTGTTGTGGGGTGGGGGGACGGGGGAGGGATAGCATTAGGAGATATACCTAATGCTAAATGATGAGTTAATGGGTGCAGCACAACAACATGGCACGTGTATACATATGTAACTAACCTGAACGTTGTGCACACGTACCCTAAAACTTAAAGTATAATAATAATAATTTAAAAAAAAGAATGGGAAAAAAACAAAAAAACTCCACACTTTAGAAACATTTCTATCTTGTATACTGAACAAAAGGTGTGGAAAATGAGGGAGTTAAACCATGCTGCTTCAAGCATCATGCTACATGTTGAAGGTATTTATCCTGTAGTTCTCCTTTAACAAACTGCGTCATTTTGCTGGCTGAAGAAACTCTTGCAGCCCATGTTTGTCTTGAAGACAAATCCTGTTCAGATTTCTACAGCGTTCTCTCCTTTTTACGTCCACGTTCACAGCAACAGCTGGGAGGAATCAGGGATGCTAGATGAAATACTCAACTATCCATTGCCAATAATGGTGGTTACCAAATGACTCCCAACTCAGTGCCATTCAACAATGAACGTTTATTGTCATGTTCATGAGTCTGCAGGTTGGCTGAGTCTGGGAGATCTAGGATGGTTTCTACTGGACTTGCTTCCAAGCTGTAAATGGGGCTTAGGTCTGTCCTGATTGTCTCCTTAGATCAGAGGCTCCCTGAGGCATGTTTATCTCATGGAAATGATAAGAAACCCAAGAGGGAAAGCCCAACCTCAAAGCATATTTTGAGCCTTTGCTAATATCACATCTTCAAACATGCCATTGGCCAAAGCAAGTCACATTGTCCAACATCAATGGGATGGATAAATAAACAGGGTGTCTAGTAAAAACTGTAAGGTCACAAAGAAAAATGTGTGGACGCAGAAAGGAGCAGGGAGCAGAGAGCTATGATGCAATAAACTACCACAGGAGGCTCAATCTACTTCTTATTTTGCTTAGAGCTCATTGTAACTCTCCAATCTCCTCTTCTAGTGAGCGCAGCCCTGTCTTGCCTTCCTAAGCCACTGTGACAGGTAAAAACTATTTGGCCAATAATCTTTCCAGTAAATAACAAAGAGATAGAAGGAGAAAAGGAAAAGAAAGGAAAGGAAAGGAGGAAAGGAAAGGAAAGGAAAGGAAAGGAAAACAATTTGGTATGATCAGTTGTAAGGACAATTGAGAAGTTCTGGAGCCCTGGAAGCAGAGTTTCATTGCAGTACTCTGAAGTAGAGAAAATCGACTTGAGACGGTGACTGATACCTTCTGTGAGGTAATTAGCAAGCCAAGGCTGCTGGCTAGAGGGACTGTGGACCATTCAGGTTTTAGTTTAGGGACATGTGATCAAAATGAAACCAGTCAGTTTTTCATGAAATTCTTTGTAGCAATTGGCTTCCAAGCACAAGGCAAGACCCTCAAATGACAGCAAGAGTCATGGGTCTTGTTCACCAGGTTATCCATGGTGATTACAATAGTGGCTAGTATACAGCTGGCTACCAATAAGTATATTTTAAATGCATTGAAATATTTAATAGCAAATTTCTGTATTGGATTTTGGTAATCTTTTGACTGAGTTCATAAGCATTGGGCCTTGGAGTCCTGAGGGCAGAGAACAGGGAGAATGAAGGATTAAGAGAATGTAGTGTTTCTCTCCATTTTTCTCTCTTCGTATTCTTTCTTCTTTTTAAAAATCAACCTTTTTGAGATATAATTTATTTAAAACAAACTGCACTCAATTTAGGCGTACTTACAGAACTTACAAGTTTTGATAAACACACACACGATATAGAACATTTCCGACATGCTCATCAGGTGCTCGTAGCCCTTCCCTGTCCATCTCTACCTATCCCTGGCCACAGGCAAGCTTTCTGTCAACATAGAATATCTTGCCTATTCTGCAATTCCTACACATGGAATCAGGCAGCATACAGTCTATCGTGTCCGGCTTCTTTTACAAAGCTTAAAGTCGCGATTCATCCCTGATCTTGCATGCCCACTCATTTTTATTGTGGAATAGTATTCCAATATTTGGGCATACCACAGTTTGTTTATCCATTCACCTGTTGATTGACATTTGCAGGCTACTAAGAAGAAAGTTCTTCACATCACTTTACAAGTCCCTGCAGACTTGAACGTTTTCATTTCTTTTGGACAAATACTTAGGAGTGGAATTTCTAGGTTGTATGATAAGTAAATATCTTACTTTATAAGAAACTATTCTCCAAAGTGGTTTTACTATTTTATATTCCCTCCAGCAATGAACAAGAGTTCCAAGCTATTTCTCTCTCCGCCCCCCCACCTCCCGCGTGTGTCTCTCTCTCTCTCTCTTTCTCTCTCTCACACTCACTCACTCTCTCTCTCCCTCTCCTCTCTCTCCTTAATAAAAAAAAAAAAAGAGTTCCAGTTGCTCCACATCCTTTCAAGCATTTGGTATTACCAGTCTTTAAAATTTTATCCATTCTGGTCCTCCTCTTTCCCTTCTTCCCTCCCTCCCTCCCTTTCTTTCTTGAATTGAGAAATGTTTGTGGAAGGAGTGAAGACAAACATTCCTGGACCTATGTTCCTAAATGAGCAAGTTTCTATTAATAAGACTCTCCCCCACCCGCCACACATCCTACACACTCAAGGAGAGGAGCGGGAGAGGGCACCCTCTTTCTTCCTCGGAAAATAAAACCTTTGCTTTCTTTAGGATGGGCTTTCTGTCTCGAAAGCACAACGTAACCGTTTGCCCGGGTTTCAAGATCAGCGCGCTGCAAACTCTCAGGCGCGGCCAGGTTTCCTCAAAGAGCCTCTCAACTGCGCTCTTCTCTGCTGATAAATGATAATTCTCTTCAAAAAGCTGGTTTGTGGCTGGCGCTGGAGAGCTCCAGCTAGAGCCAAAAGCCAGGGGTTGCCTCTTTGGTTCCTCCCGATGGGCCCCTTTTCCCAGCCAGTTGGGATCCAAAGACGCTCCGGAGCTCGAGCCCAAATTCCCAAGAAAACCCCAAAGAGCGTAAGGCTCCTGGGGACCCCTAGCACCTCTGCAACCAGGGCACGGGGCATGCTCAGAGCGAATGCGGGAGGCAGGCGTTGGCTGCAATGGGGCTCGGGAGCCAGGAGGTGCCGCTGCGTCCCCGCTTCCTGGCGCCTGACCCAGCGTGCAAAGTTGGGCTGGGAGCCGCGGGGGGAAGGAAGGACCCAGCGAGCGAGGGTGGCGGGGAAGGGGGGCGGGGGGGAGGAGGAGGGAGGAGGGAAAAGAGCGGTTAGGGGGGGCGCCGGGCGTGTGTCACTCGCTCTCTCCCTCTGTGTATAGAGGATGTGCTGAATGGTGCGCTTTGAGGCGGCGGCGGCGGAGGAGCAGAATCCGCCGCGACTGGCAGCCTCGGCTGACCGGCTCGGCTTCTCTTCGCCTTCCGAGGCTCCTCATCCACCGCGGGCTCCAGACCTCGCGTCCCGCCCGGGGCATGGCCGGGCGCTGCGCCCCCGCGCGCTCTGCCTGCTGAGCGGCGCCGGAGGGAGGTGCGGAGGCCGGGAGGCCGGGGAGGCCGGCGGGGAGCAGAGTCGAGCGCCTCCGGAGCAGAGAAAGGAGCCCGCGCCCCGCGCCCCGCGCCCCGCGCACGGTCCCCAGTCCCTGCCGCGCTCGCCCGGGCCGCCCGGAGCCCAGATGAGCCCAGATGGCCGGGGCTCAACCCGGAGTGCACGCCTTGCAACTCAAGCCCGTGTGCGTGTCCGACAGCCTCAAGAAGGGCACCAAATTCGTCAAGTGGGATGATGTAAGTATTGGGGCGGCCCGAGTCGGGGCGCTGGCTCGGGCACCGGGCAGGGCGGGCGTCGTGGGGGTGGGGCAAGGGGCGCGTTATGCAATGGGCGCACTGGGAGCGGGCAGGGGCAGCCTCGGGCGCACAGGTTGGCATCTGCCAAAGCGGATGTCCAAGGGCAGAAGCTTTGCGCGCGCTCCTGTTTCATCGGGCTTCAGTAGTTGCCATCCTTTCTGGGTCTGGCAGGCGCCCCCTGAGGGTCTTACATCTTTTGGGCCAGTGGAGAGGGAGGGGCAAGCTTTGCCTGGTGACAGGTCCTGAGAGTTCGGAAAGTAGGGAGTGTGAAGTTGGGACCAACTGGAAAGCGCCTGGTGTGAACAAATCGCGTCCCTCTCCGCCTGCGGACGCACCCCCTATTACCTCTTTTGCCCGATTTCAAGAAGGAAGGACCTGAAGTTCAAAACACTTTAGTGATTGCGAACCCTCTTGGCGCTTTTGTGGGAGCCAAGGCGGCGGAGGACACAACGGTCCAGCCAACAGGTGGTCGTTGATGCCAAACTTCAGCGCCTGGCTCCGGAGTGAGGGTCCCTGAAAAGGGCTGCGGGGACACATCTGGGGAGGGCGTGAACAGAATGGGGGCCCTTGAGGGGTCCTGGAGGGCTCATGGGCCTGCAGGCAAGTGGGGAGGGCTGACTTTTGAGAACTGAGCTGATTGGAGTCTTCTGCCTGAAATAGACAGGTTGAGAGTTTGCCCCACGATTTACCTGCACCGTTTGCCAGGTAGGGCAGAGCCTAGCCCAGCGCCGGGGTCTCTAATGCTTTACGAGCGGCCCAGACCCCAGGACTTCAAATGACTTCCCCTTCCCCTCTACCCCAGTTGTCTTCAAAACACGTAAATTAGTTATCCAGCTGAAAACATGCGAATCTTCGGATGGAGAACATTATGGTATCAGTTTTATGTCCTGGGTGTCATTCTAAAGGTTCGATAAGAAAAACCTACTGAAATAAACCCGAGTTGCCAGGCTCTAAGCAAATTTAAGTCCAAATGACTAATACATCTCTTAATCAGAAGGAATTATAGGAGAATGAGGCGTTCTTCTTGCCGAAAAGATTTTCCACCTAGTAAATTATAGCCTGTTATCCTCTAGGGTATTTTTCTTTAATCTTCTTAAGCCATTTTCCAGTGTCTGAAAACAATTTAAATATTCCAGGTAGTGAATCCAATTACTTAGCTGAGTGCGTCTGTGTCTATATTTTGTCCAGCTGGAAGCGCAAACGGAACTTGGAGTATGAACCACAGCTTCCTTGAAAGCTCGTGCCAATTATTAAATGCTGTAGGCAAGGATGTAAACATACATCTTTTTACCATGGGCTTCACACTTTTCTTCTTTCTGTTCCAGTCTAATTGTACTGAATGTTTCTGTAAATGGAATAGAATCTAAACAATAAATTCAGACGCAGATTAAATGCTTTGTGTCAGGGAAAAAAAAGACAAAGAAAATGCAGTTCAGCAATAAACAAGACGGTCTTGCCCATTTTGAGATCCTTGAATAGAGAGGTGATGTGATGATGGATTTACTGAGAAAGAGAGTGAAGGGCAGAGGAAAGAGAAAGAGACTTTGCAGAATTTAGAAAAGGGAGTTTCAGCGTAAGCTCTGGATTTGTATACAGTGATGATTCTAAACTGTATTTTAAATAATTCTCTATAATTTCTTGTTTGGGAGAGAATAGCCAACATCACATTGAGAATGAAAGTATTCTATGAAAACACATTTTGGTATATCCAGGTAGATGACTTTCATTATGTGCATTTCTGTAACACATATTTCTTGCTCACCTATTACTGCCAATCCTAGACTGGATTCTGGGGTGGTGAAAAAAGTAGACAAAATCCCTGCTGTTACGGACCTTACATGCTAGGTGGAGGAGACAAAAATCATCAAAAACACCAATGAGAGAGAGATTGGGTGATGCATTGAGGGTAATAGAGAGGACGTTAGTGAAATACCAACCAAAGAAGAAGTTGAAAAGAGCTCCTTCTGAGCATTGCAGCAGTGAGTTTCCAAGGAAGCCCTCCTGAAAGAAAGGACATAGTCACTAAGGAGAAGACCAGAAGAATTTCAGGTCTTTTTTAAAAAAAAAAAAAAAACCTAGACTGCACTCAGGAGTCAAGTTATCTGGAATATAATGAGCTATCTTGCAGGCTCTTTGGTTCTCTGGGTCTTCATGCTGATCAGTGGACTACAAGGGACCCAGCCTTTCTTAAGGTTGCCTTTCTCTTCCCCAGGCATCCCTTTTCTACTCTTCTCAGCTCGTATTTGCCCTTCCAGAATCAAGCCAGTTCAAGTTATCTGGCTATTTATATTGTACCTTAGTGAGACAGTGTGTTGAAGACAAAAAAGAACCAGATCTTGAATCAAAGGCCTGAGTTTACCTCCTAGTTCTTTCACCAGTAAGCTGCATGACTTTAGGCAAATCACTTAGCTTCTCTGTATTTTTGCTGCTTCTTGTGTAAAAGCGTGGTAATGTTACAGGACATTCAAAAATGATGAATTTGGGGCTGTTTAGGATGTGAAGAAATTATCTCTTGTTCCTGAAGTGATTAAAGCAGTATAATCACTGGTCTTGTTGTCTTGACCACCATATGGAATGGAAGATGTCACCCAGAGGTTGCAGTGCCATGCATAATTTGCTGGCCACCTACCAAGTCACAGTGAGGCTGTGGATGCTCTAAGGGTGGTAGTCGAAAGCTTTAACATAGGCACTAAACAATCACAACAGACAGCAGGGGGGTAATAGATCCTGGAGATACCCTGTTGTACCAGGGCCAGGCGTTAATATTTTTGCTGCTTGGTCATGGGGAGGTCTGGGAGTCCCCAGGGTCTGTGGATGGGTGGGTAGGTAGCTGGAGTTTTTTTGACTATTTCAGTATTTTAAAACTCATGGTGTATATTGTCTGAACATCAAGGCTATACCTGTCCTTCTGAACTTGGCATGAAGATAAAGGACTGACCTAATGATATTTAAAAAATTCAACCTCATGTCTTTGCTTTTGTTTTGCATTTGTCTGTTAGCAGGCTCTGGTGGTAGGAGGTGGGTGTAAAGGACTATGGGTATTTGTGGGAGAATTCTGGTGAGGTAGACAGTGGAAGGAGAGTTACTTTCTTGATCTAAGCTAGGGAGCTTGGGAGATTGTGAGAGAAGCTCCTCTCTCTTCTGGATCTTGGCCTTGGTCTATATTGGGCAGGACATGGAGAGAAAGAGCAAGGACTGTAAACTGTACAATAGGACCCCCAGCCACTGATTTGGCCCTGTTTTCCATGCCTAAGCACTCTGTCTCACTGTCGCACAACCTCTGAGGGATGGAAGGGTTTTCATTTATTTATTCCTTCTGTTTCTTCATTCTTACCTTTCAAATTCAGATCTTACTGTGGGCAGGTTGCTTAACGCATCCCAACTTCAGTTTCCTCAACGGTAACATGCAAATTGTAATATTTCCTAACTCAGAACAGCTGTTGAGGTTAAATAAATGAATGCATATGCATTGCTTTGTATAAAGCCTGACATACAGGCAACCTTCAATAAAACATGTTTTTAAAAGTTATTGTCGGCCGGGCGCGGTGGCTCAAGCCTGTAATCCTAGCACTTTGGGAAGCCGAGGCGGGCAGATCACAAGACCAGGAGATCGAGACCATCCTGGCTAACACGGTGAAACCCCCTCTCTACTAAAAATACAAAAAATTAGCCGGGCGTGGTGGCGGGCGCCTGTAGTCCCAGCTGCTCGGGAGGCTGAGGCAGGAGAATGGCGTGAACCTGGGAGGCGGAGCTTGCAGTGAGCCGAGATCGCGCCACTGCACTCCAGCCTGGGCGACAGAGCAAGACTCTGTCTCAAAAAAAAAAAAAAAGTTATTGTCCCTCAAAAATAAGATGGACGTGAATTTTATCAAGGTGATTAGCAGGTGTTCTATGGCTCTTTTATTCTACTAGTGGAAAAATTCAGACCTTACTTCCATTCCCTTTAATGTGTGTTTTGATTTTATACTTTATAATTTGGAGAAAAATCAGGTTTCTCACCTTCTTTTAAAAATCCAGGTGTTTCACGGAAAATAAGTACGTAATTTAGAGCAGGATCCATTCTCTACAGCAAGTCAGTTTACAAATAATCCAAAAGTTTATTTTTACTTAAATTCCATATAAAATATATTTATGTATATATGTGTATATAATTTAACATTGCACGTTCTGTCTTACAAGCATATTCTAACATGGAAAAATAATTGCTAGACTAAGTTGTCTGAGAAGTCTGATGAAACTCAGAAGTTTGGATTTGCGTTAATGCCATCTGGATTTGAATCAAGTAACTCCCTCCTTTACCACACCTCCAACCCCCACAGCTAAAACAGGTAATTTAAGAAATACTAGTATATTGCACACTTCCCAGCATCCTACACAAAAGCTTAGAACTTTTGCATTATGTGGAATCTGCTGTTCCAGTTTCCAAAATGATGACAAGTAAATGATGACAAGATGACACTCACAAGATTAATGAGAGAGCAGAGGGGAAAAGGGTTTGCGAGGTGGGAATTTAGTAGCGTTCACTTTGGAAAGGTTATGGGAAACAGGGAGGAAACTTCTCTGAGTTGGTAGCTGGCTGATGTGGATGGAGCAACTACAAAGTGCAAGGTGGATTTTAGAATGGAAGGCTAGCAGATGCCCTCTAAGGAGCCACTTAAATTTGCCCAGTTATGTCCATTTTTCTTGTCCAAAGAGCTTTGAGAATTTCTCATTGGCAGTCAATAATTACTGTAATCTAAGTGTAAGAGCATAACTCTTTTGCAAGCAAATCAATAAAACTACTTGAAACTTTTTAAAAAATCAGTGTAACATGCGTACAACAAAACACACAAATCCTGTGTCCAGCTGGATCCATTTTCACAAAGTGAACATTGCCATGTCATCAGTACCAGATCAAGAAACAGCATCACTTGCCCCAGAATTCCTGAGTGCTCTCTTCCAGTCCCTACGTCCCCTTCTAAGGGTAACCCTTATCTTGACTTCTAACTTTATAGTTTGGTTTTGCTTGTTTTTAATCTAATAAGCTATTTTTACTTTGAATGAAAACTTTAAAAAAAACCTCTTCAGCCTAAAACATTTTTATTATTGCTGAACTGATCCTCTTGAACAACAGCAACAAAAGTGACTTACAGTCAGTTTAGATGGCCATTGATTGGGTTCTTGTCTGTCCCAAGTCTGGGAAGTATAGCAGGTATAGTAAATGCCCTGAAGGAGCAAACAGTTCAACAAAACCCTAGTAATTTACAGAGGAAATGTAATGCCTTCAGGCTGTTATTGGCATGGCAAAGCTGACTAGTACAGTACTGTTGCTGGAATATAATTTTCTCTCATAGGTTTTCTCTCTTATCTTGCTTAACACTAATATTTCCCCACCTATGGTGAATGAGGATAATTTGCAGTGGCTATTAGTTTCATTTGAAAGTTTAGCCTATCAGTAAATAGCTTCAAGTTATATTTATCTGCAATGGTATATAAATGGAATGGGAACATTTTACTTTTTTATGTGGGATTTGGTAAACTGTAAATGTTTCCTTATCAGAATTGTTTCATGTTATCATGAACAAGAATCGCCAGCAGAAAATGGAAGGGGATTGCTGGTGAATTGTTGACTAACGCTATGGGTCTCCACTTAAATAACAAACCCCTGGTAACTGAAATCATTGGTCTTCTTGTTACTGGAGCTAATAATTAGGTTCATGCAACCTTTCAGATCATATCATAAATTCCAAATGCTCAGGCATATTTCACAGTCTTTTCCATCTAATCTTTTCCCTTTCTGTTCTATGTCTGATCCCCCTAAGCAGAGCCTTGTGCCCCTATGTGTAAGTAGGCAAAGGAAATATAGACATATTTCTGAGGTCATTTACATATATGACCATAAAAAAGCCATTGATTTTTGTAACTAACTAACTGAAATAGGATATAAAGGAACTAACTAATTGGAATAGATTATAAAGGATGCTTATGTTCTTTAAGAGTCTCTCTGGTTTTCCTCTGATCTCTTTAAGAGCTAATGTTCGATTTTATTATCATTACCATGTGTTAATTCTCAAAATTTTTATTTCAATTTGTATTCCAAAAATGGTTTGCATGTACCTATTAATTGAGGTTGACTAAATCTATGCATTTATCAAGAAACTAAATTATTATAAATTGAGTAACAAACTATTATATAAAATTGGAAAAAAGTTATTTTTATTTATACTAAAATTATTTTATTTATATTAAAACAGAAATAAAAGCATCCTACATCTGTCTTTTATTTCAAGGGTTTTTTTTTTTTTTTTTTTTTTTGAGACAGAGTCTTGCTCTGTCACCCAGGCTAGAGTGCAGTGGCACCATCTCGGCTCACTGCCAACCTCTGCAGCCGGGTTCAAGCTATTCTCGTGCCTCAGCCTCCGGAGTATCTGGGATTACAGGCACATGCCACCATGCCCAGCTAATTTATTTTTATTTTTATTTTTAGTAGAGACGGGGGTTTTGCCATGTTGGCCAGGCTGGTCTGGAACTCCTGACCTCGGGTAATCTGCCCACCTCGGCCTCCCAAAGTGCTAGGATTACAGGTGTGAGCCACCGCACCCGGCCTTCAAGGGCTTTTTTTGTTTACAATATTTGGTTAATGTTCTGTTTCTTTTTACTGAATTGACGTTTAATGTACAAGATCACAGAAAGTGGATTAGTTAGTAAAGAAAACATTTACCTGAAGTAGTCACATGGATATCAATATATAGCATTGATATCTAGAAGATTAAGATATTATTTTGCCATTAAAAAAAACATTTTTTTTGGAAGTTGTCTATGAAATAGTTAAGAGTAAGGGAAATTTAATTTAATTTTAATCCATTTTATAGAAGAAGCCATACAAGCTCATGAAGCTGGAAAACCATAGAGCGAATCAGCAATTGATCTGGTCAAAAAATGTTAAAGATGCCAATCATGATCCTCCCCAGGTGTGCTGTGTTGGATATGGTTGAATCTCACATAGCATCGATTCCTACATCCTCTTAGTAGGACTTCTTATAATACAAAATCTGGACTTCTAAAGCTACATTTACCAGACTCCTTTTTGACGAACATTCTTCTTGAAAATTAATATTTCCACCAAATAAATTCATGCATATGAGATATGGAGGGCAGAAACATTAAAGGGGCCAATTTCCTGCATCCTTTGGGTTGTTTCTACAGATACGTGAGAAGCTAAAAGAGGTGGGACTTTCTGTAATAGTTCTTCAGTGTCTCTGAGAGGCAGTGGTGACAGTGGCCACTCCCTGTTGGCAGCTTACACTTCTTTGGCTTCAACAAAGCTGGTGTTTTGTTTGGACCCCGGGAGTTCCTTCTTGATTTCTCACCTTTCTGAATGTGGTAGATACAATAGCTCTCCCCAAGGGTCTGTGCTGCTATGTTCTGAGATCATTCATGGAGAGCCAACCTAAAGCCTGCTCCTCCAACCCTTCCAGTTTTTCTGTCAAGTGCTTACTTTATATTAAGTCCCTTTATCTTCAAAATTCAAGAGAAATTTCTGTTTCTCGCACCAAATCCTGGCTGATATGGCCTTTTGCGGTTCTAGGATTTCACAGCTTTCAGTCCTAAATATAATAATCATCTAAGTATCCTACATAGTTTTCTCCTTCAGTACTACTGTTGAGTAAAATGAAGTTTTGCTGTAATATTTCCTCTGGAATTCAAAATCCAGACTAAGTCCTAATAGCAGGCATTCATGCTTATATAGCAGCCCTGCTTACCCCTGTTCAGTCATTAAGACCACCTCGGGTGGTAGGAAAAAGAGCAAGCGTTTGTCTTTTGCATTTCACGTAGAAGCAAATCGAGGCTAGTGATTGTGATTTGTCGAAGGGCACATAACTAAGTAGATCTGGAATAGGAATTTAAAACTACGTCTTCTGGCCAAATTCAGTGTCCTTTCCAGTCTACCATGATGTCCCCGAACAGGGTCCTTTTAGTAACAACAACAACAACAAAAAACTTTTTATTTTTTTATTTTTTTTTTTAGACGGAGTTTTGCTCTTTTTGCCCAGGCTGGAGTGCAATGGCGCAATCTCGGCTCACCGCAACCTCTGCCTCCCCGGTTCAAGCGATTTTCCTGCCTCAGCCTCCTGAGTAGCTGAGATTACAGGCTTGTGCCACCACGCACAGCTAATTTTGTAGTTTTAGTAGAGATAGGGTTTCTCCATGTTGGTCAGGCTGGTCTCAAACTCCTGATGTCATGATCCACCCGCCTCAGCCTCCCAAAGTGCTGGGATTATAGATGTGAGCCACCGAACGTGGCCAACAAAAAGCTTTTAATAGAGTCTAAATGAATACAAGTTTGAAGAGATTGATAGACTTTTCCAAAGAATCTCTGTTATTTTTAGGATTCATACATATGAAGCTTAGATCCCTGCAAACTCAGTTTTTGAGCTATTGTCTTCAAAATAGCTCTTTTTCATGGTGTATGTACAGTCCGTTTTTGTCTACACTGTGCAAGATGTGTGAGCATTGGAAAACCTCATTGCTGCTTTGAGACAAAAAGGGCAGGCCAGCCGCAGTGGCTCACGCCTGTAATCCCAGCATATTGGGAAGCCAAGGCAGGTGGATCACTTGAGGTCAGGAGTTCAAGACCAGCCTGGCCAATATGATGAAACCCCGTCTCTACTAGAATACAAAAATTAGCTGGGTGTGGTGGTGCACACCTGTAATCCCGACCACTCGAGAGGCTGAGGCAGAAGAATCACTTAAACCCAGGAGGCAGGCAGAGGTTTCAGTGAGCCAAGATCGCGCCACTGCATTCCAGCCTGGGCGACAGAGCGATACTCCGAAAAAAAAAAAAAAAAAAAGGAGGGGGCAATGTATGCTCTATAGTCTTTAAAGATATTCTACATCAGTCAGTCAGCGTGGAAACATGCATGTGGAAAGACAGGTATTCAGGTATGGTGTTAAAGGTCTTTTTTTCATTGTCGAGTAAGTGACATTTCTGCATTCAGCAAGACTCTTTATATCTGTTACTCCACCTTTTCTTCTTCTCGACATACGTGTAAATGTTGTCTTTTGCTGATTCCTATTTAGGCTTGTCCCATGGCCTCTCATAGAAATCATGGACCATGGAAGAACAAGAATATGGTAGACATGAAGGAAATGTAGAGGGTGAGTTGCCTGCTCTCAAGCACGATGCAGAATGCAAGACAGTGTCAACTGAGAGGCCAGATCTATATTACTTGTGCAGGGAGGTAGATAGGCCTTGTTTATATTACAACTAGAGCAGGACTTCTGGAGGGCTATAGCTTTATAATTATCATTATTATTTTTTTCCCTAGGGGAGAGCATAGGCCTGGCACTGGGAGGTGCTGATGCTCAGGGGATATTTGTGGAATGAAGGAACTGTCTGGTGTTTGTCTGGCTCACAGTGGGTTCACACAGGGGAGTGTGCAGCCTTGAGGCAGACCTGGAGGGCAGTCATGCTCCTATGAGACCTTCGTGACCTTTGAGGTGTTGTGTTACATTGGTTGGAACACCTTGCTCCTTGTCCTTCCATTCCATCTGAAATCTCCTAGGGTCCTAAGGGACTCTGTGACCTTCTTAAATGGGATTTCTCCATGTGTGTTTGAGAAGGAAACTATTTATTGGCAATGCAGAGCTCACTGCTGTTACAGTGCTGATTTCATTTAAGGTCCAAATATGTCTTAAGATTGAGTGTATACTACACTGCAATTCAATATTGGTTGAAGGTGATGATGCTTAATGTATTTATTTCTCATATTCTAAATTTTACCATTAGTTCCTATTTTCTGAAAAATATGCTCACCCATACACCCAAATATTGCAATGAAAAGCCCTTAAAGAAATTCAGAAGCGTTGGGAGTGACAGAACAAAAGATGCATGGTTGTGAAAACATCCTATCACGATAATGATTCACAAAGAGAAAAAAGAATACTTGTGCTTTATTGCTAAAGTGAGAAAAGTAACAAGACATAGTTCTAAATCTGATTTATAATGAACTTCCACCTACACTATTCTTTGTGTACAGAGGCAATGGAAGTCCCTGGAACAATGCTTTTAATTTCCTCCTTTCTCCACTCCTCGTTTAATGTACTTGGGCCACCTCCATTATTCCAGCTGCCCTCCTGCCCCTGAGAAATACCTCACCTTCTGCATTTATATTTTGGAGCTCGACCTTCCTGGCATCTCTGAATCCTGACTTCATTATTATCTGACACCACTCCCCTTTCTTTTAACAGTGTCTATATGAGTTTCCCCTCAGTTGAAGCTTTCCTAAGAACATAGCAATATGCCTTTACTAGTAAAAATCCCAACCTCAAAACCAACACAATGTTCCCCAGTCCCTTTTCCTCCTTTAGTTACCGTCTTCTTCTTCATCTCCTTCCCTCTACTATGCAAGTGTAACTTATAGTCACTGTCTCCCTGTCCTTACCTCCTACCTACTTCTTCTCAGCCTTCCAAAGTCTTTTTCTGCCCTCACCACTACTTTGAAATTTCTTTATCATGGCTGTGGGCAACATGGCTCCCAGCAACCCCAACTGATGTTTTTCAGAATCTTCCTTGTTTTTATTTGCTGCAGTACCTTCCACCCCTTCATCCATTCATTCACCAGTCATACTTTAAAAATGTACTGATGTCTCTTTTAAGCATTGTGCTAGTGTTGTGGATTGATGATGATTAATGATTTCATGCCTGCCCTTATTGCGGAGACAGATGCTAAGCAAATAGAGGTACAATTATTTTCATTATAACTGCTATGAAGGAAAAAAAGTACAAGTGAGTATAGGAAGCATGGAAGGTTTCCCTGGAAAATTCTATTTATGACAAGTGGGATTTAGGCCAGCATGAGTAGAAGAATGTGTCAGGTGGAGGGAACAGCAGGTGTGGGTATTCCAAAGAGCCAAGGAACACAAGATTTTGAAGGAGAGAAGCAGAATTAGCACAGGAGAGTGTGGCTCAGATAATGTGGTTGGATGGCAAGGGCCTGCATATATACTGCGTAGGTCCTTGCAGGATTTTAGACGTATAAAGTCAACCAGAAACCATTAAAACCATGTTTTCAACCCTGGCACCATTGACATTTGGTCCCAGTAGTTTTTTGTTGTGGAGTCTGGCCTGTGTATTATACGATATTTAGCAGTATCCCTCGCTCTAGATACTGGGTGTCAGTTGCAAAGCCTCCCAGTAGTGACAACCAAAATTGTCTCCAGACATAGCCAAAAGTCCCCTGGGGTGCAAAATTGCTCCCAGTTGAGAACCACTGATGAAAATGATAAATGATATACTATGCTTTTAAAAGTATCCGGCCAGTTCACTGCCCTCCCCGCCACCCCAAAGGCCAATAAGTACATGAAAAGATGTTTAACATCATTAGTCATTGGAGAAATGCAAATTAAAAAACACATTGAGGTGCCACTGCATACCCACCAGAGCTATATGTTACTGAAATTATTGGTTTTTCTCATCTGATGCCCCCACTAAGCCAGGAGCACCTCGGTTGATTTGGGATCTGGGCTTTAATTTGGTTCTCTCGTGGATTATCTGAAGGATCTTGCACGACACTTGAAGAACAATTCTTCCAACATTTCCCTACATTGTGTTAAAAGGGATTTTTCTGCTTGTTCTGTAGGAAGCCAGTATCTTCACATTGCTTCTCTCCACTGTTTTGCACCCTCTACTCTGGACCTTCTTCATCTCTTCTGCTTTTCTTTATTTTGGGAAATTTCAGAGTAGAGACACTCCTGGAGGAAAAGTCTCATCAATGCTGATACACGTGGATGTTTTACTCCAATGATCTTAATTCCTCACCTGGCATCCAAGACTACGTTTATAATGTTTTCATTTCATAGTCAGGGCTGTATTGCTCATGTTTAGTTTGACAAGCATCACATCTGATTTTCTGTGACCCTTAGAACTCTTTGCCCGTTGCATAGCTGTTTTCCCCCCAGTGTCTCTATTTGCTGTATTTGGCCCTGCTGCTTCCTGATGCAAGTCTTGGGCAATCCCTGTGGAACATCGCTTGTTACTTTTCCTGTTGACTCTGTGGTATCGATTAGTTTAGACGTGCATGCCTCTATTCATGTGTGTTCTCTTGTAATACCATAAAAACATGAGAATCGCTGTGGAGTGAGAATTGTGGTCAACCTTGGCCAGGAGACTTTCTGACAGTGGTGCTGAGGAATGTGCCATGGGTCTGTGGACTGGCCCTTGACATGAGCCTTGAGGTTTAGGGTTATGCTTTGTAGTAGTTTACTAAGACTTCCATAGCAAAGGACCATAGCCTGGGTGGATTACACAACGGAAATTTATTTTCTCACAGTTTGGGAGGAAGTGGGAGATAAAGGTGTCAGCAGGGTTGCTTCCTGCTGAGGGCCGTGAGGGAAGGATGTGTGCCAGGCCTCTCGTCTTGGCTGGTAGATGGCCTGCTTCTCCCTGCATCTTCACATCATTTTCCTTCTGTACATGCCTGTGTCCAGATGTTCTCTTCTTATAAGGACACCAGTCATACTGGATTAGGGCCCACTCTAAGGCCTCCTTTTAACTTAATCATATCTGTAAAGACCCTATCTCTAAATAAGATCACACTTTGAGGTACTGGGGATTAGGACTTCAACATGTGAGTTGTTGGGGAGGAGGCCACGATAAACCTGGTGACATACCTCCGCCTGGTAAAGCGTAGCTCAGAGGGTAGCAACATGACAGCTCTAGTTAGATATTGAAGAACTGACACTTAGAGAAGAAGTTAGATTTATTTTGTACTATTTAAATGTTAAAAATTAAATGGTAGCTGCATATGTGGATAAAACCATAAACTGCCTTGCTGGAATTGTGTGACAAGAGCACTGAGATTGCTTTGTGAGAAATCTCCCTGTTAAAGAGTGTCCCTGTGAAGGTTTGGAGTTGCCCTGCCTAACAGAAATATAGCGTGAGCCACACAGGACACTTGTAAATGTTCTAGTAGCCTCATTAAAACAAGTAAAAAAGAAACAGATGGAATTAATACGAATACTATATTTAATTTAATCCACTGTAGGCATTTTGACATGTAATCAATGTCAGAAATCATTAGTGAGCTATTTTCTATTCCTGTTTCCATTCTTAGTCTTTGAAATCTTGCAGCACATCTTAGTCTCAGCAGTCGCATTTCAAGTGCTCAGTAGTCACAAGGGAGCCACAGCAGCTCCTGTACTGGACAGCACCAGTATAGGGCATCCATTCTCAACAGGGGCCATGTCGCTTCCAAGGAAACGAAAAGTGGTTTTGGGGAACAAAAGAAATCTTCTTACTGTTTTTGTTTTTTTTGTTTTTTTTTTTTTTGGTATAAGGCACAGTTATACATACAGCATATAAACAGATATTCAGCCTATCTGCAATATTGAAGTGTCATGGGGGATGATTAGAAAAATAAAAACCTAAAAAGCCTCCCTTGCAGGGCAATAATGGAAAAAGTTGAGAAGCACTGTTATAGAGTGCGTACTTGAAGGTTTAATTTCCAGTGCTTCCCATACCAGCTTAACTGGCTTTCCTTGAGGAAGTCACTTAGCCCAAGCCTTGGTCTAGGTATCTGTAAAATGGGAATAATAATAGTGTCTACCTCTTAAGTTATTGTAAGTATTAAAGGAGAAAAGCCACGTGAAGTTCACCACAGTGATTGGCTCAGAGCAAATGTTGAGAATGTATCAGTTACTATTCAGTCAGGGATTTTTATAAAAAGGTATACTGGTATTAGAAGTGAGTTTGGATTAGTGGTGCCTTTGTCATTTCGTCTCAGTTTCTTTAGTATTTATTATTGACTTATATCAGTGCATTGATGAGCAAATCATTGTAATGTTAATGTTGATTCCAGTGACTCTTTTTTTTCTTGCTGAATTGTTTCTCATTCTTCAGGATTTCGAGGTTTTGTTAAGGTCTTTTGCTTTGCCCCTTGATTGTTTTTGATTTGGCTTAAAGACTCTTTAGAGATTCATGTAAATTACTAAATAACATCTTCTTAATTACTATATTAATCTTCACTATTTATGATATAGGAATGACAGTAAAACGTATTATATCAAATAAAGAGCAGCAAGTAGAAATTTACTGAACATTATCTGCTATTACTAACTTAAGACAAGTATGTTTATTGGTTTTCTTTTTTACAGACAAACATTTATCAGAAAAAATACAACTTTAAGTAAATTAGAGTTGAATTCTTAGAAGCAATATACTCACAAGATATGGTTTGCCTGCATTCTAAGGTCACAGGTGTTCTTGGAGGTAAACATCATCCTATTCCTGACCCAAAGCCTCACCTATTGTAGGCCTACATCCGTGGTTTTGTAAGTGTGGCCCCTGGACCAACAGCATCAGCATCACCATGAGCTTCTTAGAAGTCCAGATTTTCAGACTCCGTCCCAGAGCTACTAAATGAGGGACTCTGGAGAAAGAGCCCAGCAATCTGTGTTTTTACAAGATCTCTCAGTGAACTTGATGCATAGGCAAGTTTAAAAACCACAATCTTATGAAATACACACATGTTATAGATGTTGATGGAGAGGTAAAGGATTAAAATATAGACCATCTGAGAGCTGTCTTCATCATTCTACAGTCAAAGGTCCCAAGAGTCGCAACCCATCTGCAGCTCCTTTGTCAATGAAGGATGGTCATATATTTCAAGTTTCAAACCTGGGTATATGTTCTGACAATTAAGAATATTTGGGATCTGGGTTGAGTGGCTACTTTGGTATGGGGAGAATATAGATACTAGCAGCTATGTGGGAGGTGGGAAAACAAGCAGGTGGAATTGAAAATAGACATTCATATATTTCTGGGTCAGATCCTACTTTGCATGGCAAGAATGCCAAGTTCCAGCTGATCTTGGAATGTTAGAGGTGATTATGAAGGAAGCGGGCAGGGAGCCGAGATAAATGATCACTTAACAGAGGAACTGTGGCCGGAAGAGTGGGGTCAAGAAAACATTGAACAAAGAAGGGTTAATTTTGAAGGAGGGGAAGGAATAAGCTAGAAATGGAAGTATCTGAAACAAACTAGGCAGCATAGAACAGTGTTCCTAAATATAAATTTTGAAAAGTTTTTTTTTTTTTTTTTTGAGACGGCGTCTCGCTCTGTCACCCAGGCTGGAGTGCAGTGGTGCGATCTCAGCTCACTGCAAGCTCTGCCTCCCGGGTTCATGCCATTCTCCTGCCTCAGCCTCCTTTAGAAGTTTTATTCTGCTCACTTAAATATTTGATTGTATGGGATCCTTGCAGGGAATCGCCACCAAGATTTTGATTAGAATTTTGTCAGATGCTCTGATAAGAAAAGAAACTGACCTGAAAAAGATAAGTTACACCTACAGTTTATTCTAAAGTCCTCTAGAAGTGGGAATGTGTGCTGTGTGCAGCCTGTCAAAACTTTTATTTTGGCAACTTCTAGAAGTAACAAAACAGGACTGAAAATATTGCTATGATTTATTGGAAACATTGGTGTGAGCTGTTATGCATGCAATCTCATGAAAGAAGCCTAAACTATTTTAAAAATTAGTCTTTCATTATAATATCGTTTATTTCCAAATGTCTTTTTTTGACATTTAGAAGTAATTGGGAAATTTTAAAATTCTAGCTGAAGTTCCTTGCAACAGCACGGTCCTTGTAAAAGATATTTTTCAAACTGCATGTTAAGGATGTATATATGGAATATCAGCATAAAACAGAATGGCAGTTCCTCAAAAAATGAAACATAGTACTATCATATGATCCAGTAATTCCACTTCTGGGTATATACTGAAACCAAGGACTCAGATAGATATTTGTGCCCCTATGTTCATAACAGCATTATTCACAATAGCCAAAAGGTGGAAACAACCTAGATATTCATCAGTGGATGAATGGATAAACAAGACATGGC
Source organism: Homo sapiens (assembly GCF_000001405.40). NCBI lineage: Eukaryota > Metazoa > Chordata > Mammalia > Primates > Hominidae > Homo > Homo sapiens. The sequence continues at coordinate 8,148,688 of NC_000020.11, forward strand.
ATATACATAAATGGAACATTATTCAGCTTTAAACAGGAAGGAGATATGACACATGCTCCATGAATGAAGTTTTAGGACTTTATGCCAAATAAAATAAGCCAAACACAAAAGGACAAATATTATACAATTTTACTTATATAACTACTTAGAATACTCCAATTATTTAATTACCTGGAGTAGTCAAATTCATGGATACAGAGAGTAAGACTGGTGGTTGCCAGGTTATAGGGGCAAGAGGGAATGAGGAGTTAGTGTTTAATGCATGTGGCATTTCAATTTGGGAAGATTTAAAGTTCTAAAGATGGATGGTGCTGATGGCAGCACAGCAAGGTGAATGCATGTAATACCACTGAAAGGCATATTAGAAAAGAGTAAATGTTATGTTCTGTATATTTTACTGCAGTAACACAGAATATCCTGATAAACTTACATTTAGTATTTTGATACATCTGTTTTTAATTATAATCCACTATAATAATAATGAACATTTTTATGTGGCAAACATGCCCAGATGCTTTACCCCAAATTATCCTAGCTATTTCTCACAGCAACCTTCTGAGTTAGGTATTATGATTATTCCCTTCTTTTTTCAGTTGTGTAAAGCTATGCACTGAGATGGGACAGGCAGGAATTTGAACCCAGAGAACATTTTCCAGAACCAGGCTCTTACAATAAAACTTAATATGTAGATTAAAATCATTCATACTGCTCTGCCCATTAGGAAGAAAAAAGTCCCAAATGCCAAAATTATCTCTGCAAGTTCTAATTTTCATTACAAGTTCTTTTAATAAGCTAGATGATATGACACACTATGGTTATGTGTATGAAAAAATTGAAAAAACTGGCAATTTATGTCTCTCTAAAAAATGCAATTCCTGCAAAGGCCTGAGTGTTTCAGTATAAAAATCCATATCCAGTGGCATGTATTTTCTTGTGCAGATGGTATGTCTTTCTGAAAATTGCTAAGAGAAAAGAACACATATTTTAGAAATGTTTAATATTATAATTACAATGTATCCAAGTTTTGCTTTATACTATGCATGCTTTAAACTCAGAAGACTATTTACCTATGATGTTTTATTTTAGCATGTAAAATTGAAATTTGCAACAAGTTTGTATATATCTTTCTGAATATGTAGAAGATGGCCTTATTTACTGTTACCTTGGAAACAGTGATGCTCAAATACTATGTTTTACTCTATTACAATTAAAAATCATTTTATGGAACAAATGTAATTTAAAATACTATTCTTAAGCATGGATTTTAGTTAATATTAATCATAAAAATAAGTAATGATGTTTAGTGTTAAAATTATTTGAAAAGCTAAATATAGATTTTTAATAGAAAACATACCTTAATCAATAAATCATAATGCTTTTTCCTTTACAAGTTATGTATAAGTCTTCTGATTATTAGGAAAGAACCTCAGTTACATAATGGATAATTCCATGAAGTTAAAAATGCCATGTCTAATTTCTTTTGAAATTTTTCTTAATAATTGACTACTTTGGAGAATCTGTACAATTATTACTTCTTAAATAACTCCTGGATAGATTTTTCTACAGTGATATATGTTGATATTCATGTTTCTTCTTACATTTCTAGGACTCAACTATTGTTACTCCAATTATTTTGAGGACTGACCCTCAGGGATTTTTCTTTTACTGGACAGATCAAAACAAGGTAAGAAATGAGGTATGCCTTTCTTACATTTTTCAGTCGTTTACTACTTTGAAAAGTATTTATGTATCTTATCTATAGAAGAACATCCATTTCACAGATCTTTTGCAGTTTATTTAAAGGTTCTACTTTTAAAGAATATCTAAGGTATTCTTAGGACTTAGGACGTTTCAAAGTCACTAGTTTGAAATATTAGATTTGCTAAATTCTAGAGCAATTGGTATTTTTGGTTCTGTTTATATTATGTGTTAGGATAAGAACAGGGAAATTTGAATTACATTTGGTGTAGCACATAATTAGTCAGCGTTACTGATTTAAGTCCCCACCCATAAAGGATGAAGAAAAATGATGAGAAAATAACTTTTGACCCAATAGCCTTACCCCTTGGCTTTTCTTTCTCTCTCTTTTCCCCTGTGCTGTTCATTAAGGACTCTCTCAGAATCAGCAGGAATTTGGCCCTGATAATTTGTTGATGTCAGAAAACCAAGAATAAAATTCCTTTAGCCTATTCCTTCAGTTGTCAGGAATTTCTTACTAAATTAGCTTTCTGCCCACAATAGCATGAATTTATTATCTCATTTGTTATGAAGCCAATTGATGATTCTGTACTGAATTATTAAAAAGTAGAATATCTGCTGATCATAAGATTTATTTGGAGTTTAATGGGCAGTTAGATGAGAACACTCATGGAAAGTGGTTATTATTTCAAGCATCGTTGCCACAGTCCTACACTTGAACCTCAGAGGCCACAGAATATAGAATGTTTTTGTTCTCTAAGTTTTGATATATGGAGAAATGGGATAGGGTTTACTGAGAATGCTAAATACATACTGAAAACAATAGAATAGTAATAGTATACCATTAAAACAGCTGGAACCTCCACAGTTACGGATGAAGGAGGAACAAATTGTTAGCTCTTTCAAAACTCTACATTAGTTTCTTATATCCAAAGTTCCTGGAGTTGCCTGTCAGCTTTGCCTTCTGTCTCTGAGGCAAGCTCAATTATACCTGTGTCTGGTCCCAGGGCCACTCCTGAATGAGCCTGTTTACACATCATTCAAAAGGTGAATTTCAGTCTTGTTGTCCTGGAATTAGACTCTAAATCAGTGTGCCCTGGAACCATGTGTGGCTGTAGAAGTGGAGGTAAACCACAGACCCTACGCTAATGTCAAAAATTGTATGAGTAAGATTTCCTACTTAACGCTCACATTTATTATTGGGTGTGTTAATCGCTTTGGCTTAGACATTCTGTTTGGTTTCCTGCTGTTATGTGTAAAACAATGGCTTGCAAGAGGTTTTGTTTTTTGGGTGTTTTTTTCTTCTCCTAAAGGATATTTTTAGAACTGTTGAAACTATATTCATGAACGATGTACTTATAATGCCTAGAGCATTTCTAAACGTTGGGTATTTGTACGAGAGACCAAACTGTCAGTTTGATTTTTCAACTTGTAGATCAAGCTTCTATAAAAGCAACAGAAGATATTCTGGGATTTTTAAATAATTCATGGCAACTCAGTTAAGCTCCCCTCTAGACCAATCATCAATATTTATTTCCTTAATAAAGAAAAAGGGTTTAGGACCAAAGGCTCTTTGTTGCATTTCTGTTGTGAACCCAGTATTTTGACCCATGCTTATTTTCAAAGGTAGGAAAATTTGTTTTCATTTTTTACACAAACTTTTAAATCTTGGTTGCAATGCTGTTTATGACCAAGCGAAACAGATAATGTGGTAGCAATTCCTTTTATCATGTTATTGCTTTTCTTTTCATGGATATTACTCTTACAGTTCTAGCCAAGAGATAGAAATAGTAAATTTTACTTTTCACTTTCTAAATGCCAAAGTCATCTCTCAGTCATTTATCAGAATTTGGAGGCTCATTTCTTAGTGATCATATATCTTAGAATCCAAAAGATGAGAGGATTTAAGAAAAAAAAATTAAACTTACCATGCTTTCAAGTTTGTCATTTTCTTTCTGGCTTGAAGCCCAGCCCTGGAACCAGTAAGAGTGATTCATCCACTTTTAGGAGATGGACGACTCCAAGTGATGAATTAGAGTAAATGTGTGCTAGAAGAAATGGTGCATGCAAATAAAAGATGGCATGCCAAGCTTTTAGTGGGGATTTTTTTGCATAAGATCATTTGAAGGTACATGAATGAATGGTACATTCATGATGCTACTTAGAGGGCCACTTTTTAAAAAATATTTTTTATCTGGCAATTAGTTTTAGGAATCTGCCACATGTACCATAGAGATAATCTCTCAGAAAACAAAAAAAAAATGTGATACCTTTAAGTTTATCCCTTGATTTTATACACTGTGTTTTCCATTGGTTGGGAAGCTTGCATTGGTATTTATTGTAATATGCCTCTCTTCTTCCTTTGGGCTTCTTCCAATATATTCCCTCTTTGGTCCACGAAGCTTATACCAAAGCACTTGGATTAGCAATCATCTGAGGCCTAGTCTGCTCAGAGGTGAGCAGAAATCCCTAGCAGAGGGGATTTTACAAGTGTTTTTTATTTTTCTTTTTTATAGCATTGGAGGTAAATGGCCACATTTTATGATGTTCTATGCATGTCCGTCTCTTGTCATGGCTACATCAGATCTTGTATCAGAGCCACTTATTTCAAGCCACTGGCTTTCCCCTCTGTAGACAATGACATGCTACCTTCCAAAACCCCTCCTTTGATTTGTCACCACAGAAATGATAGGTGACAAAGAAGACAGCACAGATGATGAATTTAGGAATTAAAAACTAAAGCTAGCGAGTCATTTTTAGGTAGCAGAAATGTGCTTTAGTGAAACACTGACAGGATGTTTGGAGTTGGTGGAAGCAGATAAATATGAATATCATTTTTAGGGATAAATGTTCATGCTTTGTACCAGCTCTGGACTTATTTTAATAATTCTTTTCACTGTATTGTTGGCTCTGTAAATCTTATTGAATAAAATGAGCAAAAATGAGTTTCTGAATATGACTATTTTAAGCAGAGTGGTTTTTCTTGTGTAAGTGTAGGTGATGTGAAGAGGATGAATTTATCTGTAAGTCATGGGTGAGAAGGGAGTCCTGCACAGCCTGAGTACTTGAGAGGTGGCCTACATTAGGCTATAACTTTTCTTTGGATCCGTGCCATGTGAACACTAGAAACCAACACAGGAAGTGTTAGCTGTGAAAACCATGTGAACTATAAGAATCTGCTCCACCGGTTTTGAAAGAAAGGCTAAAGAAGAAAAAAGTGTCAATGTTAAAGAGCTAACCAAAACCTATCCTGCTAGAATATGAAAAAAATTAGACCTTTGCCTTGCAACCTGATGCCCTGCTTCTGTGCCAAGGTTGGTGTAAAAATAAAACTAGTCACCACTAGTTCAGATCCAAGAAGTTCAATATAGTTCAGTAAACCCTTCCTTGTCTTCATAAAACTGGAGCTTGGGGGAAGGGAAAAGGAACACATCATTAAATTTGAAAAGGAATGGGAGGAAGAACACACGGTTTGCATGAAGAACTCCCATTACTTTCTTTTTTGTTACAAATTTTATTTGTTTTTAATATTGTGGATAATATACAAATATCTTTTTATCTGTAAAATAGTAAAGCAATGTAACTATCTTTAAACTGCACTCTCCCATTGACTCCAATCCTAGTTCTCTATTCAGAGTCAACTAATAGTAATAGCTTCATGGTTTCTTCCTAGGTCTCTTTTAAATAAATTTGTGCATGTGTAACTATGGAAATATTTCATTTTGTTTTGCTTATGTCCATTTTTATACTAAGTCACATCATATTAACCATTCTACAATTTCCTTTTTACCATATAGTGTGTCTCAGAGAACTTTTCAAGTTAGTACATGTGTGTCTATATCATTCCGTTAAATTGGCCTATCTTAGGGAATTTTTCATGTTAGTACATGTGTATGTATCACATTCTTTCATATTGCTCTATCGTATGTTAAACAATTGATTACCACATTTTATTTAAGAATACAGAAGTTCTCACTGGTGGATTCTTGGTGTTTGTCTCTAATTTGGGGTTACAAAGAATCCTATAATATGGAGTAATAGTCAGCTGTGTGTAGCCCTCTCTGGGAATATGGGTCAGGGATTCCCTAAGGTAAATGCTCAGAAGTGCGATTGCTGATTTAAGGCTATACCTATCCTAAATTATAATGAATGGCTGTACCATTTTATAACCCTACCTGTCTTATATGAGTGGAACTGTTTTCTTAAGCCCAACCAACAGTAATAGGAAATATTTTAATTTTTGCCTAACTGATGCAACTGTTATATCACCTTGTTTTAATCTGTCGTTGCCTGATTTGCTAGTAAACTGTGTATATTATCATACATTTATTGATCATTTCAGTTTTTCCTTACATGGATTGCCTATTTATATCTCTTGCCCTTGTGTGGACAGTTCTCTGTGTATTCTAGATGTACTCCTTTAGCTGTTATAAATGTTGCAATTACACTCTTCCTGTCTGTGGTTTGTCTTTGACTTTCTTAACATCTAATTTATGGGTAACAAAAGATGACTTGAAGCTTTAAGTTTTCATGTAGTTACATTCCAACTACCTCCCCACTTTTTGCTTCCTTTAAGATATTTCTGATTCCTTCTCATCACCGTTATTAATCTAGGTTTTTAATCCATATGTAATGTATTATGAGGACTGGTGTAAGGTGGAGCTCTAACTTCAATTTCTTCATATCACTCGTAGAGCTGACATTTCACTACCTGGTTTGGATGGCCCAAAGATCTGTTATGTTTTAATGCCTGTGGACTGCTGGGTTCTGATTTCCTACTTCATTCTTATCTCATTTATTTTCTGCCTTTCTTACTTTGTGGTTCAAAATTGTAATTCTTTTTGTTTACCCGTGATCCTATATTAGAGATTTAAATTTATACCTGCATATTTAGTCATTTCTGGAGACTTAGGGCAAGAAAGATTGGTTCTACCATTCATGCCATCTGCCATCTTGTTCTGCCCTGTGAATTTGCATGAGACACCATTCTGGATGTTTGTACAGAGTGATGATTCAGTTTCCATTAATGGCAACCATAGATAGTCTTCTCTTATGATAACCTTAAATTTCTACAGAGTTCAAAAGCAAAGTTTAAAAGTTAAATATTTACATAAGTCACAGTAACATTTTTCAGCATGAGTCCAGAGTTCAAAAATATTTTGAATGATGCATCATAAATGTCAACAAGAAAATCTAGTGATTTCCTATTAAAAATAGTCTGGCTTCCATAAAGAACTACTGGGTACCACACATTTCATTAATGATTTTTAGCAGTGGGGCTTTCTCTTTGGGATATGCTTCTCTAGGGTATCCCAAAATTGTCAACTTTGACCCTTCTTGTGTATAGTAAATGGGATAGGTCATTCAAGAGTCCACTGAGTGATTAAATGCAATGATGTAGTTATAAATTTAGAAGATAAGTGCTATTTATTTTATTTGGTAGCTTTCTCTAAAAGTTGAAACAATAACTTACATTATCTGGGAAAAAAACCAGCAAAATTCACGTGAGGATTGCTTTGTGAGGGCTGGGATTGTTCCTTGGCCTGGAGCAGTGTGTCAGTCATTGTTGACTAAGCAGCAGCATCTGGGGACTAAGTCCTTTCCTTCACCTTCCTTGAATTTCCTTCACCAGTATTGATGATATTAATAGCTAAAACAGACACAGTGCCATACCCACACCCTCTTCCTCACCACTCCTGAGAACATAAGCCGGGCTCCAGTGGCTGGCCAGTGCCTGCATTCTTTTGCTTTGTCTGGCTACTAGAACTCATGTTGCTACCCATGCAGCTGCCCAGAAGTTCCTGGCAATTCACACTCACCCTCACCAATGGGATTCAGTGGATAAATACCACAGCTCCCTCACCTCTTGGGTGGGATAACTTAAAGGTGCATTCTTTATATTATATCCCAGAACTCTCTAGTGGGATTAAGCCCAGTTACCCACAGTGGCAACTGGCTTGAAAATGTTCCCCTTATGGGCTTCCTTCCCTTCCTGTCTCACTTCTCCACTCCTGATTGTGTTCTAAAACCACCTCTAAAATAAACTACTTTTACTAGAATCCTTATCTAGGAACTGCTTAATGCAGATGCATAGTGCTTAACAACTTAATATAGATGCCCCCAAATGAAGGGTTTTAAAATGATTCCTTGGTTAAGAGAGATTGGAACATATTAAGTGAACACTTTTATTTGAAGCCAAGTCTGATTTTCCTAAAACAGTCCTAATTTGGGAAGCCCAAAGCTGGTTGAGGAAACCAGCTTTGAAGCTGTGACAGATGTGGTTTGTCACAGTCTGGCTCTGCTGTGTATTTAATGAGTCACCCTCAGTGAATCTCTTTAAAAATCAAAGCCTTGGTTTCATTATCTATAAGGTGGGTATTACTCTCTTAGTGTTGTTGTGAACATTCAATGTGTAAAATGAATGACTTAGCATAACACCTGCTACTTTGTAAACTCTCCATCCTTTGTGGTGGCTTTTATTATTGCTACATAATAAACAATGACTCTCTGACCAAACAATTGTCCATAAGTATTAGAGACCACAAAAATGTGCTGTTTTGAAAACCAAGTGACCATTTATTTATGTATATCTTTTTATTCCTTTTTTCTTCTTCAAGGCAACACTGACTTGTTTTCTATTTAGACTCTGCTGTGGTCTTTTGATCTGAAACATTGAAGCTTAGGTCTGTTTGGGCAAATAAGATGTTTATTTATGTATTTCATAATGTTGTGGGAACAGAGCCATGGAAGGCAAAAGAAGGATTTATTGTTTAAAAGACTTTCCCTCTGGGGATAATTTGCTAATAAATAGTCCATCATAGGTGAAAGTTTCTTGGACCCTTGGAAATTTGAAGCATCGTATGGAACAACTTTTAAGATGATTTAGAGGACTTTGATAGGAGAAAATTGTATTATTCACAAGAAAAATTGGACACAATCATGGTTGCCTATGCCTTTTTCCTAAGATAGTCACTTTAGGATTGTGACAACTACATGGGCATCAGGCCACTCCTCTTCCTCCCTACTGACCAAGACCTTAGAGATTAAACTTTTAGTGTTTTTGAGGATAGTTTAGCCACTAAGCCAAGGTTCAGATTGCTGAGGAACAAATCTATCCTCACCATATCAACTTCCAGGTTAAGTTTTTCCATTTTTATTAACATTACCTTCTTTTCACTTCTGTGACTCCTCAGAGATTTTGCACCAGTGAACTCTGGCTAGCATAGAATAGACATGTCATGATGCCTTAGCTTATGTAGACACAACATACAAATAAATGTTATTAGAATGGAATCATTTACAAGTTCTTCTTAGAGGATGTGATGTATGATTTTTTTGGTAGAATTTCTAATTGAAGTGTAGCCTTTTAAAGTATATTTTAAAATTAGGCTAGTCATTTTGAGATGGTTTCATTGCAGCTTCTTTGGAATCATTTTTAGAGTAGAAATGCATTAGTATAATTTTTATGTCACAATCACCACACTTCATTATGGGCATAACAACAGCAATGCTTGTTTTAATATATTGTAACCAGAGTTTAGAAACATGTAATACCACGAAAATTCATTACTCCTAATATAATTTAATTACAAAATTGTTCCTTGGTTTCATAAGTTGCATATATTTAGCTCTTCCCACTACTTTAGGAGAAATTAAATTGGATACTTTCCATGCTATGAAGCTATTATAATGGAATATTTGTACTTTTTGATGCCAAAAAATGGTTCGAGCCATTGGATTGGCAGAATATGTGAAGGAAATGCATTCTGCATATTGTTCATAATTTTACTTCCTGTTACGGAGAAAATTCCTTTGACTTTGTTACAAATAGAATCCCCGGGTACTTGGTATTGATATAATGCCATGCTCTTTTGTTTGAATTACAAATGTTGTAGGTAGAGTAGGCATTTTTGGTTGTTCTGTAGTTCATTTTCTTGCCAACTCAAGATTGTTGATGGTACTGATGGAGACATTATTGTATTAGTCCATTTTCATGCTGCTGATAAGACATACCTGAGACTGGGCAGTTTACAAAAGAAAGAGGTCTCACCCACAACATACGGGAAATCAAGCTGAGATTTGGGTAGGGACACAGCCAAACCATATCATTCTGCCCCTGGAGCTTCCCAAATCTCATGTCCTAATATTTCAAAACAAATCATGCCTTTCCAACAGTCCCCCAAAGTCTTAACTCATTTCAGCATTAACTCAAAAGTCCACAGTCCCAAGTCTAATCCGAGATAAAGCAATTCCCTTCTGCCTATGAGCCTGTAAAATCGAAAGCTAGTTACTTTCTAGATACAATGGAGGTATAGGCATTGGGTAAATAGAGCCATTCCAAATGGGAGAAATTGGCCAAAACAAAGGGGCTACAGGCCTCATGCAAGTCCAAAATCTAGCAGGGTAGTCAAATCTTAAAGCTCCAAAATGATCTCCTTTGACTCCGTGTCTCACATCCAGGTCACACTGATGCAAGAGATGGGCTCCCATGGCCTTGGGCAACTCCGCCCCTGTGGCTTTGCAGGGTACAGCCCCCTTCCTGGCTGCTTTCATGGGCTGGCATTGAGTGTCTGTGGCTTTTCCAGGGGCATGGTGCAAGTTGTAGGTGGATCTACCATTCTAGAGTCTGGAGGATGGTGGCCTTCTTCTCACAGCTCCACTAGGCAGTGCCCCAGTTGGGACTGGGGGCTCCAACCCCACATTTCCCTTCTGCACTGCCCTAGCCGAGACTCTCCATGAGAGCACCACCCCAGCAGCAAGCTTCTGCCTGGACATCCAGGTGTTTCCATACATCCTCTGAAATCTAGGCAGAGGTTCCCAAACCTCAATTCTTGACTTCTGTGCACCCACAGACTCAACACCATGTGGAAGCTGTCAAGGCTTGGTGCTTGCACTTTCTGAAGCCATGGCCCATGTTCTATATTGGCCCCTTTCAGACACAGCTAGAGTGGCAGGGATGTAGGGCACCAAGTCCCTAGGCTACACACAGCACAGGGACCCTTGTTCCAACCCACAAAACCATTTTTTCCTCCTAGGCCTCTGGGCCTATGATGGGAGGGGCTGCCATGAAGACATCTGACATGCCCTGGAGCCATTTTCCCCATTGTCTTGAGGATTAACATTTGGCTTCTTGTTACTTATGCAAATTTCTGCAGCCGGCTTGAACTTCTCCTCAGAAAATGGGATTTCCTTTTCTATTGCATTGTCAGGCTGCAAATTTTCTGAACTTTTATGCCCTGTTTCCCTTATAAAACTGAATATCTTTAACGGTACCCAAGCCACCTCTTGAATGCTTTGCTGGTTAGAAATTTCTTCCACCAGGCCGGGCGTGGTGGCTCATGCCTGCAATCCCAGCACTTTGGGAGGCTGAGTTGGGTGGATCACCTGAGGTTGGGAGTTCGGAACCAGCCTGACCAACATGGAGAAACCCCATCTCTACTAAAAACACAAAATTAGCCAGGCAGGGTGGCACATGCCTGTAATCCCAGCTACCTGGGAAGGCTGAGGCAGGTGAATCACTTGAACCTGGGAAGTGGAGGTTGCAGTGAGCCAAGATCGTGCCATTGTACTCCAGCCTGGGCAACAAGAGTGAAACTCCATCTCAAAAAAAAAAAAAAAAAAAAGAAAAAAAGAAATTTCTTCCACCAGATACCCTAAATCATCTCTCTCTAGTTCAAAGTTCTCTAAATCTCCAGGGCAGGGGAAAAATGCTGCCAGTCTCTTTGCTAAAACATAACAAGAGTGTCCTTTGCTCCAGTTCCCAATGAGTTCCTCATCTCCATCTGAGACCACCTCAGCCTGGACCTTATTGTTCATATCATTATCAGCATTTTTGTCAAAGCCATTCAACAAGTCTCTAGGAAGTTCCAAACTTTTCCACATTTTCCTGTCTCCTTCTGAGCCTTCCAAACTGTTCTAACCTCTGCTTTTTACCCAGTTCCAAAGTTGCTTCCCCATTTTTGGGTATCTTTTCAGCAACACCACACTACTGGTACAATTTACTGTATTAGGCCGTTTTCATGCCACTGATAAAGACATACCCAAGACTGGACAATTTATAAAAGAAAGAGGTATAATAGGATTACAGTTCCACGTGGCTGGGGAGGCCTCACAATCATAGTGGAAGGTGAGAGGCACGTCTCACATGGTGTCAGCCAAGAGAAAAGGGCTTCTACGGGAAACTCCCATTTTTAAAACCATTAGATCTTGTGAGACTTATTCACTATCATGAGAACAGCAGAGGAAAGACCTGCCCCCATGATTCCATTACCTCCCACCAGGTCCCTCCTACAACACGGGGGAATTCAAGATGAGATTTGGGTGGGGACACAGCCAAACCTATCACTTGTCAAGCTCTTTCTATATTTAATCAGCAAGACAAGTCTCTTTTTGTCTTTTGGGAAAATAAATTTAGATTGATAGTTGGATTATTTAAACATTTATCACACACACACAAAATATTAAAATAAATAATATAATTACTTTCTTCCACTTTAAAATATTTTAAATTTACTTTAAGTAATTTAAAAGGCAAAAATGCAAACTTTGAACAACTGACTTATTAGGACGTTGGTACCTATTATAAATAAGTTTCTCAAATCTAGCAAAGTATGTAATATTCACTAATTTACTTTGCACATACCTTTTTATCGTTGTTATCATTATCCTTGTTATCCTTAGCATCACCAACAGCAAACACATATATGCTGTTTTATCCTTGCCAGACACAATTCTAATAATATATAGTCTGTATATTTATAGCATATACATATTTTTATACATATATTTATATAGTATATGTAGCATAGGTATACTTATAGTCTATAATAGTATGTATATAGTGCATATATGCTACATATATACATACATAGTGTGTCTATATGCCGTGCTACATATATACATACATAGTGTGTGTATACTTACACATATATATAGTGTGTGTTAACAGACCTATGCAATTTCGTCATTTCCATAATCCTATGAATGACAGTGCTACTATTATCTACATTTAAAAGTGAGTAAACTGAAGTGTGAACAGAGGTTATGTCATGATCCCTGGTTGTACAGTTGGTTAATGGCAGAGTCAGGAATAGAAACAACAGTGGCAGTGCAGTCTGGCTCTATGTTCTGGCTCTTAACTTTTTGCTGTTTAAAGAACCTGTTTAATATGTAAAGTTAAGTTTGCCTGCAGGATTTTTTTCCTTGGATTTGTTTGAAAAAGAAACCTCAGTAGGCCTAGTACATTTGCTAGGAACAGACAAACTGTATGAAGAAGGTATTCTCAAGTTGGGCTGCACAATGAAATCACAGGGGGAGCCTCAAAGGACGCTGCTGCCTGGGCTTCCTGTCTCCAGAGAATCTGACTTAATTGGTCTGGGGTGTGGTCAGAACATTGGACTTTTTTTTTTTTTTTGAAAGCTCCTCATTTGATTCTAATGTACAGCCAAGGTGAACACAGATAGAAAGCAAGCTGACCTTACAAATTAATTCAGTAAACTTCCTGAAAGGATGTGCTCACTTTGCCTTTCCTGCCTGTGACGTGGCCTACTTTCTACTCAGAAGTAACACTCCACATGAGCAACTACAGGCCCTACCAGATTCTGAATTATTTGACTATGACTGGATAATATTCCTTACACTGTGCTTAGTAAGGCAATAAATTACTAGGATTTTTTTAGAATTAGTCTCAATATCTAAGGTTGAATCAAAATAGTTTTTTTATTATATTCTGTCGATGAAAATTTTTTTAACTTTCCATTCCCTGAATGTTACAGGTATTAGCTGTTTGTTTTATCGTTACCAAACATGTCCTCAGAATTCAAGTCCTGTTTATTAACCTTATATTTGTGTTTTTTGAGACCCTTGTTTAGATCACAGTACTGTGTAAATTCCATACTTAATTAAATTAGCTGCACCCTTGAATGAGTGAATGTGGTTTTAAGAATGACCTTATATAACTATTTTATTTTATAGCTAATTTTTCATTTCTGGGATACAAAGGCAGATGTTATCTTATTAAATTGTAGCATTATGTCATTTCTTATCAATTTGTAGGAATCCTTCCTTAACTGAGACATACACTCAACTGGGCAAACCAGAGAGAGCTAGATAATTTCAGGTGTGATAGGAAGTTTGCCTTTCATCACCTCTACATGATACATTTCAGAATAGTAAAATTCACATTTCTCCTGTTAGAATGTTTGGTTTTTTATTCTGCTTCTATAGGGAATGGGGATTGTGGTAATGATTTTTCATGAGATTTCTCCCTGGCATTGTGCAAAACTCCACTTAGGAACAGTGGTCTGAAAATTATATTGCATCACGGCAAACAATGCACCTGTGTGAAATGAATGCTTAAGTGAAAAGTTTTATGGGACAGAGCTAGTTGCTATGCTAAGAAACTAATGACTGTGCTGGTATACATAATGGATTCTATTTTTAGATGAACACTTGGTCCTATAGCATGGCTTCATTATGCAAGAGGACAGAAGTTTCAGCGTTATATTGTGAATATTGAGACATTAACATATCAGAGTATATGCCTTCTTAGATACTAAAGTGACTTTTTCATATATTTTAACCCTGACATAGTTCATAACTAGAGGAAAAAAGTAAAGAACAAAAACAGAATTTCAAAATAATTTCAGGTTTCTGGTGTTTGTAGGTTGAGTTTTTCCAACAGTTGACTGCAAGGAAAGGATTCAAGTTCAAGTGGTTTATTTGGGAGGTGACCCCAGAAAGTGTGGGCAGGGCCATGGGGAAGTGAGATAGGCAAGGGAAGACAGCCATTAAAGGGTGCACTATCAAATAAGTTACCATGGTGTACAAGTGAAGCTCCGTCCCATTGGAGAGCCCTGGGAGACAGTGCAGAGAGGAGAGGGAGCAGTGGTATACCCACCAGTTCCTAATAATCAGTGACTGGGGGCAGCTCTCTCAGGGGTTATTTTCTCAGCTCTTCTGCCAGCCTCTCCTGGAGACTGAGGGGCTTCCAGGCCAGTGGGCCCTAGGCTTTGAGAAATCCCTCAGACATAGATGCAGCTGGAAGCTGTCCGTTGGCATACATGAAAACACATGGGCACCACCAGCAGCAACCACTCTGGTGGCTTTAATTTCTGGTAAGTCAGACTTTTAAAATCTATATCGCAGTGTGCAAACTGGAGCCTGCACCCATTCACGAACAGTTCTTGCTTGGCCTGTGCAAATAATTAAATACATAAACATGAGTTGCCAGCATTTAAAAATCTGCAGGTTCATATACAGATCTGGATTTCTCAAAAAATCAGAAGGCATGGAAATGCCGGCCGACATACCCCCATGGCCACATTTGGCTGGGGCAGTGCAGCAGCTGCCTGCTTTAGACAGGGTGTGTGGTATGCAATCTGCCACATTTCCCACCAGGCTAGCCTACCTAATTTACATGAACTTTTAAGCTCATTTAGATGTTTGAGTATAAATATCGGGCCTCTATGGTAACATCCTATACTGGAAGCTTCAATAAGCTAATGATTGCAAAGCTTCATATGGAATGAGGTTAATTCTGTCACAGTGGGCCTATTGGAGTGCTGTGGCATAAAGACTAGATTTTTACAGTGGAAAAATGGCTGAAGATCAGCATATCCAGGTCTTGCTCGTAATGGCCATAAGCAAAGCAATTATGCTCCAATCCCAATTCTTCTCTGTGATGTATGGATCTAAAGTGTAGGAGCCCTGAGGTCCCTCTCTGACTTAAAAGGCTATTATTCCAAAGTGACTTTCAGGTGTCATTTTGCTAGGTAAGATTTATAAATATGAGTCCTTGGCAAAGGATTTTCGTGTCGAATTGGGCCATTAATCTAGGGAAAATAAGAATGGTGGACTCCAGGACACCAGGCAGAATGACTTCCCTTGGTTCCCTTGGTTGAATGAATGGGATTAACTTCACCCCCAGATCAAGGCAGTGAGCATTGACTGGTTTAGCCAACCAATGTAGTCCACCCTTTTCTCACCGTAGAGCTGTGCTGTCTCATACAGTAGCCTCTAGACTCATGTCACTGTTTACAGTTAAGTTTTAATTAATTAAAATTAAATTAAAAATTCAGTTTCTCAATCCCACTACCTACCTTTCAGGTGCTCACTAGCCACCTGTGTCCAGGTGCCATTTCCATCATTGCAGAATATGTTATTGGACATCACTGCACAGAGCTTGGATCAGGAATGGCTCTTCAGAGCCAATGCAAAGTTTCTTGCAATAAGAAGCTTCCTTGAACTTGTGGGGAAAGAAACTTTCCTTCTTTTTCTGGATTATGTGCTGCAAGGATGTAATATCTGGACTCACTTTTGTTATCTTGTTCCCATGAAAGAAGATATTGGAGTAGCTCAGATGCCACTTTGGGAGCTCAAAGGGGAAGCTAGCCCTGCAGAAGACAAGCCAGTGAAGAACCAAGTCCTTAATGATGTCATTTGAGATACCAGATCAGTCCATTTCAGTTCCATGAATGAATCAATCCCCTTCATAGGCTATGCCAGTTTAAGATAGAGTGTTTGTCCCTTTGCAGTTAGAATTACTGACTGACACATTGGACAATCATTTATTTGAAGGAAGGCAGAGACTCAGGTGTTAAGGATCCAGCTAACATCTGGCCCATAAACTTGAAAGAGAAATAAAAGCGGGAATAGAATGTGTTAACTCTGTCAGTGGCTATCATTCCCTGTACAAGACATTATTGTTAGTTTTGTATAGTTTTCTAATCTGGGCTTTAACATTTCAAGGATAATTTTAGTGGCTTCTAGCCATCATGAGGAAAGAACATGTCTTGAGAAACATGGGGAAAATTGAAAACTGTACAGAGAATATAAGTTTTTGGCAATGTTGTATGTTAACCTAATAGCCTTAATGGTACCATGATAATTTCTGGGTAAGGAAAGTAGAACTTATTAATAAACTGTTGTGCTGCAGACATTGTGCCAAGGTACCTTATGTGGACAAACTATCACATGAATTCATGAATTGATTGATTTTTTTCCATTTTGCATTGAGGAAACTGAGGCTATGGAGAGGGTGATTTTTACCCTGGAAGACTCTCTCTAACCCTGCCAATTTAGAATGAAACCCTCTCTTCTGTTCTTCTGGAATACCTTGTGCCTTCCTTTACCTTAGCACTATTAATGCTATGTTGATTCTGTCTGACTCTTTTTCCTTTCCCAGTGGATGATGAAGGCCTTGAATTCGGGGACTTTACCTCATTTGTTTGGCATTTTGAATACACTGCTAACATACAGTCACTGCTCAATCGATGTGTGTCAAATGAATGAGACTTACAAAGGCTGTGCATCTTGTCTAAGGTTACAGGTTACTAAATGGTGGAAAGCCAGATCTGTCAGGTCCAAAGCCAATGACCTTTCAGTAGTTCATTCATTAAAACCCTCTCCTTCTTGTTTAAATCTCCAGCTGTCTTACTCTTAGCAGTTTATGTGACCTCTGCCTCCTGGAGAAGAGAGAAAACACAGTATTCCCTGCCACCAGACCTAATAGCACACTTTCATTTACAGCTGCTTTCCTCTGTCTCCCTCTTCCTTTCCCAGCCCATCCTTTCCACTTTGACCCTGGACCCTAGCTTCTCAATGATTTCATACTAAAATTGATCCCTTCCCTTTCTTATGTTGTCAATATTTCCCCTGTAACCAGATCTGTACATCAATATTAAACATGACATGCTTACCCATCTTAAAAGAAAACCCTATATCCCCTCTTGACCCTCACTGGCTACTTCCTTTCTTTCTCGCTTTCACTCATAGCAAGCTTCTTCAAAGACCTGCCTATGCTCTCCCCATTATTCTCACCTTTCACCAACTTTTCAATACATATCAACCTGGATTCTGTACCCACTACTCCTCCAAATTAGTCTTTCTTAACCCATCAATGACCTTCACATTTTAAAACATGCTGGCCA
Source organism: Homo sapiens (assembly GCF_000001405.40). NCBI lineage: Eukaryota > Metazoa > Chordata > Mammalia > Primates > Hominidae > Homo > Homo sapiens. The sequence continues at coordinate 8,166,315 of NC_000020.11, forward strand.
TCTTGAGCTCTGTGGTGCTTGATTATTTTTATATAATTTTACATTGTTGATAACCCCATTTTCCTCGAAACACTTTCTTTTCTTGACTTTCTTTTTCTCCTACCTCTTCCTACCTCTCCAGCCACATGTTCGCAATCTACTTTACTGGCTGTAAGTTGCAGTCCTTCTCTACTCACATGTTAGGGAATCTCACCTGCACTTAAAACTTATTTTACCATCTGGATACATTGGCTCCCAATTTCATATCACCTTCCAATACCCTGTTCCTGAGATACCGGAAAGCAAACATTTCCAAGATTGGTATCATGTTCTTCCTCCCTTAAATCCTGACCTGGTCCTGGTGCCTTATTAAAGGTACCACCCTTCACAGAGTGGCACAGTCCTGAACCCTGAAAGTCTTCCTTAACACCTTCTTTTCCACCTTCCCTCCAAGTTCTTGGCCCCTTTCCTTTTGTGCTCCGTCCACAATAGCCGCCTTCTGTTTCCCTAGACACGGCATATTTCTTTCTGCTGAAATTTTTCACAATACTTTTCCTCTGCTTGGAACACATGTTTTCTCCCCATGGATTAGCCCCTCCCCTGCTTCACCACACTTCTCACAGTTGTAATCAAATGTTTTTTACATAGTTATGTAATATCTAGCTCCCGTATTAGGTTTTTGACTCAATGAGAGCAGAGTCCAGAGGTGTCCTTGTCCGTGTTTAAGACCTGGCTCTCTTAATGGGGAAAGTAACTTGTAGCATTCGCCAATTTCCATGGTGTAAATACTGTAGTGTCTGATTTCGAGATATGGATACTTCATCACTGAACACAGATTTGGAAAGTGAAGGGTACAGTTGGCTCTCATAAGCTTACAAGCTTTCCCCAGCTCACCCCCAGGGCAGATGCTTGTCTGTCTTATTGACTGCTGTATTTTCATGAGTTAGGGCAGTGCTTGGCACATTGTAGGAACTCCAAGACTATTAGTTGGAGGAGTGACTGCAGTGTTTTTATTACCATTGGAAATATAGTAAAAAGTGCTGATGTTTCAGAGAAAAATGAAATAATTTTTTAAATTTTAGAATTGGACCCAGCCTGAAAGTTTATCATATGCCATCCCTTTGTTTTTCTTCATTAGAATTGAGGGTCAGGAAGTGAGATCTGCCACAATCACATAGCTACCTGGTAAATGAGCCCAGGTTAAAATGCACATCTTTTAATTACCGACCAACACTCCTTCTACTGTAGTGCATTATCACTTCTAAAAGGAAAGTAATTTCTTTCCACTAGTGATTTAGTTCAGATTGCATTATTAGATAGTGACGTAGTTGAATGTATAATTAAATCTGCTTTACAAAAGAAAAAGCAGTATTTTATCATTTCTTTTTAAATTATGAGTTGTCTCTTAAGAGGGATTTCTCTTTTATCTTTTTCTTCTTTAATATTCTGATGTACTTATTTATAGAACAAAGACATTAGTCAGCTTTTGTGGTGTAGCAAACCACCCCAAAACTTATGCCTTAAAACAACAACCATTTTTTTGAGGTCACCCTTCTTTGGGTTAACAATCTGGTGCAGGCTCTGGGGGATCATTTTTCTGGTCTCAGGTGGGCTCCTTCTGGCTTCTGCAGCTACTCATGGGTTGGATGTGTGGCTCTGCTGATATGGCTGGCCTCTCCTGTCTGAGGCTTCAGCTAGGATGGCTAGGCTGACTTGTATCTGTCCCATGTGGTCTCTCATCTTCCAACAGGCTAGTCCAGCTTGCTCTGGTAGTTCACTGGCAGAGTTCTGAAACAGGGTGGAAGCTGCAAAGCCCTAGAAGCAGAATTGCCATACTGGCACTTCTGCCACATTTTCTATGCCAAAGCAAATCATTCATAGGTTGGGGAAATAGATGCCACCTATTGATGACAAGATCTGAAAAGTCACACTGCAAAGAGGCATGGTTACAGTGAGAAGAATAATTTGTGACTGTTTTTGAATTACATACAAAAAAGTAATTTCTTCTTCAAATTAGTAGAAGATTGTCTCTCTGATGGGATAGAACTGACTGATAGCTTCCTCATCCTTCTGAAATATTAAGGCAATATGAAGTACCCCACCTGGACAATTGTGTTAATTATATATGCCCAATATTAGAGCACTTACGCTGCAGTGAGGTGGGTGTCTCTCACCATACCCTAGACTTGGAGGTCCCTGATAGGTGTTCTGAAAGAAGATCCCTGTAAGGTTATAGGGAAGTAAAGCCGCATCCCAACATGGTGCACAGACAGCAGCCTCCTAGCAACATCTCTTAAAGCAGATGGTGTTTTCAGACATATTGAGGAATGAGGTGGGTTGGGAGCAGTTGCAACAAGATAGGGAAACCTTAAGTCATCTTTGAGGATACTAGTTTGTTGTGCTATTTTTTTTCTTCCTAAATGATTTGGAAGTGATTTTTCTGTGCCTGATGTAGTCTTTTTTTTTTTTCCCTTTCTTTGTATCCTGTGTTGGGAAATGGAAATAATTCAAAATCTGTAAAAACACTGGGAAAATGGAAATTAAACTTTGGGATTCTTTACTGCAGAAAAATGATGATGGGAAATGTTCTTCAGTAGAGAGGTAGAAATCATTTCAGACCGCTTCTCCTAGCCGGGGCCCACAACATGCATTTTTCTGGGATGAAAACACATGAGTTTGACCAAGGAAAAGTTTGGTAGATTTTGTCAATGAAGCATGAAAAGGGATCAGTCTTTACTCTGAGCTCATCTTTTTTTTTTAGCTGAGTGTGCTCTTGGAAGATGCAGGCATCAGTGTATTTATATCTGGGTCAACAGGGCATGCGGTGAAGGGGAAGGAAGGCCATTACCTAGTGAATGTATATTGGGTGGGGAGCCACTGAGGTTAAAAAATTCAGCCTACTGCCATCTCTTTACTTTGGGCTGTATGGAAGTTGTTCATGACCTCCATAATTGTTCTTTTGTAGGATACCCTGTATCAGATTATAGACTCTGAAATCCAACTCCCAGGGTTCAAAACCTGCCTTGAACACTATGTATCTCTGAGGAAGACATTTAACTCATTCTGAGCTTCCATTTTCTCTTCTACAAACTAGAAATAATAAATAGGAATCCCATGAGGATTAAATGAGATAACACATCTGAAACACTTGGCACAACACACATGCTGATAGGTGCTTCACAACTGCTACTGATTTTTAGGATAAATTTTAGTAAATTTTAATATATATTGTGTGAATCTGAACTAGGACAGGTATTCGGATACTTCTGATTCATATTCTGAGTCTTTTTGCACCCAATTGGTTGAAACATCAGGGCCCCCAAGGAATGCCAGTGTCTCAGGTTGCAGATAATACTGCCAAGTTGCAGATAAATCCCTGATTGGACAACTATCTAAGAGTTAGTAGATCCACTCAGACTCCCAGGAACTTGGAGTGCAGTTTTCGATGCCTGAATTCAGAGAGGACAGGGTGCGTGGTGCATGTGGCCTAGTCTACAATTGCTTCTGGCCTATTGAATCTTAGGAATGGAAGGCTGAAGGGGAGAAGATAGTTTGTCATCAAAACTAAGGTTCTGGACAAATTTGGAGGGCTCAGTTGCTGGGCTGGCCCTGGAGAATGAGACTGAATTCTCGACCCTTTGAAAACAGGTGCCATGTTTGATTTCTTTTTGTGTCAGCAATGCATCTTCTATTAAAAGAATGGCATTAGGGTCTCAGTCAAGATGGCCTGAGGCATTCAGTTAAGGGTACACTGATATATTCCTCCTGCTGGTCAGTGTCAAGATTCTGCTCCTGTTCTCTTTCATCCCTGTGTACCCATCTTAGATATTTTTGAGTGCCCATGATGTGCTCTTTGTTGTAGTATCTGAGATCTCTAGTTGGGGAAACCTACCAAAGTAATAAACTATTCTATCCATTGTTAGGACAAATAGGAAAATCTTACTGACTCTAGGAGAAAATAGCAGGTATTTCTTTCTTTCTTTTTTTTTAAATAGACTATTTCAAATCCTAAAGTAGTTTTACTTGATATTTACAGAGCACATGTCATAAACTCTATTTAAAAACAGAGGTAAAAAGGGGGAAGCACTGAAAAATATAACTCGAGTAATCAGTTTCATTCAAAATGTAAGTGGGAGAATCAGAATAGAAAATAATATGATTTGCAGATTTATTTTAAATCAGATCTAAATTTTTAGATTTGCAAGGTCTGAGTGAAAAAAAAGAGTGTCATTGCTTAGAACTTCTTAGGAAAACAAATCAATAAATCTGTAGGAAATAGGCTGTGTGCTGAACCTTATTTGGTTTCTGCTTTTTGACCGAGAAGAAGCATATTATATTGAAAGGGTATATACTTGGTACATAGAAGGAAGGCGACCTTTAATCTCTGACTTTATATAAACATAAAAACCGTGAATAGAAAAGACTGAGCCTAGGAAGAAATAAAAAAGGAGCCCTGAATCTATGAGGCTGAGCCATATGAAACAGCCATAATTGTAGGCCAAAAATGGCCAAACACAGGCGGTTTCTCATAGGCCAACAATACAGTCGTTCTGAGAGAGCAACAGCATTACTTTTGCTTAGTTGACCATCTGATTATGACAGTTTAGAACCTCATATTGATGTGGCAAACATGAGTTAACTTCTCTATTGTTAATGGATATGATTTTATTCTAATTTAGATCTGATTTAAAATAAATCTGCAAATCACATTATTTTCTATTCTGATTCTCCCACTTACATTTTGAATGAAACTGATTACTCCAGTTATATTTTCGAGTGCTTCCCCCTTCTTACCTCTGATTTTAGATAGAGTTTATGACACATGCTCTGTAAATATCAAGTGAAGTTATTTTAGTATATGGTGCAACATTTTATAAATAACAAGAAAGAGTATGCTACTTTCAACAATATCATGTTTAATATACATAAAATATATAAGCATGTAAAATATATGTAACATATATACTTAAAATGCATATACATTATATACATTTAACTAAGTACAAATATAAATGTTGCCTAAGAGGTAAGCTTCAAATTGGAATTTGAGGGAAATAAGCTTCAAATTCATTTCTCATATATTCATCATTTTATTTGTTCATATGTTATGTTTTTTGTTGTTGTTGTATGGGAGAGGTACTGATTTAGGTTACTTCTTTTGTAGTAGAGGATGGTAGTTAAAAATACATACTCTGAACCCCATCTGCCTGGGTTTGAATCCCAGCTCTATCCCTTGTGAGCTGTGTGATTTTGAGTAAGTGACTTAAACTTTCTGCACCTCAGTTTTAATATATATGAAAAAAGGATAATATTAGTACTCCCTTAAGGTTGTGTTAGGGATTACATGAATTAATATAATGTGTTTGGATCAGTGCTTATGTTGGAAGCACTAGGTAAGTGTTTATTATTATTACTTCTCATTGTAGTCTCCTTTATGAAACGTGTGTGCATAGCCTGTCTGGAGGATGACTTTTTGTCTTTTAAAGAGAGAAGCTGTACTACTTCTACTGTACCAGAAATTCATCTGAGAGCAGGTTACTTTCTCATTGTAAAGTCCATGCAAGCCAGATAAACCTATAGGGTAGCACTTCCTTAATTAGTTTACAATTTCTGAGGATAGGTTGGTGGGAGTAAACTGCCTCTGAGTGTTCACTTCTCTGGGAACTGTCCCGTCTGTTGTTGCGTATCATATGTTCTAGTGCATTTTTTTTCAGTTATGTCCTTTCCCACAAAGCAGTTTGGTGTAACCACTGTAATCCCAGTAAGCTATGGTTGGGGTCTATGTATAGGAATGTGCACCCTGAAATTCATTCACTTATTCAGCACAATTTTATTGAGCATCTACTAAGTGTTAGGCACTCTCTGTGTCAGATATATTATAGATAATATACAACTACCTAAATGCATAGTAAGCAAGATATTGTACCATTGAGAGTAGTAAGAGTGATGAGAAGAGTTCAGGGAGGGAGTAGTGGTAACTGTTTTACATAGGTACTCAAGAAAGGAATCTCTGATAAGCTGATCTTTGAGCAGAGATTTAAAGGCCGTGAGGGATAAGCCATGTGGTTGGTTATCTGGAGGAAGAATGTCCTAAGCAAAAGAATTGGTAAATGTGAAGGTATGTGACTTCTGGGATAGTTTGACAAACAGTTCAAGAGGCCAATTGGCTGGAGCATAGTAAATGGGGATTGGGATCAGTAGTAGGAGGTGAGGTCAGAGAGATTGCTGAAGACAAGGGCGAATTATATTAGGTTTTTACAACCATTGTAAGGGCTTTGGCTTTTCTCTGCATGAAATTCAAAGATGTTATAAAGTTTTAAATACAGATGTGATGTGATTGGACTTGTGTTTTTTAAAAAAGGATCACTGAGACTTCTGATCTATACAAGATGGCCAGATTAGATATTGGACCTGAACATTTTTCTTTGTTCTTCTTCCCTAAGTACAACTATACATCCCAGACATAATGTGAGAGGCAACCAGCAGAGGACTCTGAAAGGTGCTAAGAGGAAGGCAGACTGGTTTCTGGCATCAGGACCAGAGAAGCAGCATGGGGCAGGGTATCTTATGTTTCCCCCAGCCAGTAAAAGAAGGTGATCAGGACCAGCATTTTACAACCTGTGACCTAGCAACAGAAGGTGGTTCAGGAAAGCTCCTTCTTTTCATGGAGTCCATCCAGTGTCAACAGGGAAGCCCAGCACCATTGGCAAAGGGATCAGTCGGGAATTCAGTTATGGCTAGCCATACATGGGCAGGGTAAATGCTCTTCTTCCTGACCAGGCCTGGGACTTCTCCCTCTACCAAGAGATACAACACAGGGTCACCAGGTTGTACCAGCAAAAGGGGGCCCATGCCCATGACAACAAGCAGCCTGGCCTGGGATACCTCTTTCTCCATGGGTCTGAAACTCCTCTCTCCTGCCCAGAGACACTGAGACTGCTGAGTGACACCGGTAAGAGGTATTTCACTACAACAAGCGCTTGGCCCATGAAGCCTATTTGTCTCCATAGACCCAAGATGCTATTCTCTCACCAAGAGACACTGTAGGGTCAGACTGAAAAAAACCTGTCAGCCCTCTCAGGTACAGGGACCTCTGGAAGCCCCTCTCATATCATCTAAACCAAGCAGACCAAAATAACACAGCAAAGGTTCTGAAAATTAAACCATCGGTGGAATGACAACCCACAAAAGTAGACCAGAACTCATGTGATAAACTTAAACCAGGGTGACTACCTGCTAAAAGGAAAGATTTGAATAGAATTTAGTCTTCTAATATACAAAAATAAAACGTCCAGGATACAACTGAAAGTTGCTCATCATACTAAGAGCTGAGAAGATCATGGCTTGAGTCAGAAAAATTTAGTCAACCTCAAGATGGATCAGATTTTGGAATTATCTTACAAGAATTTTAAAGCAGCCACCATAAAAAATGTTTCAGCAGTCAAAAACAAATTATTTTGAAACAAGTGCAAAAATAGAAAACTTCAGCAAAAAAATAGAAGTTTTTAAAAAGAACCACATGTAAAGGATAAAACTGAAAAATACAATGGCCAAAATAAAAGAACACAATAGGTGGGTTCAATAGTAGAGTGGAAATGATAGAAGATAGTGTCAGTGAATTAAGGACACATTGGCAGAATGTACTCAATCTGAACAACAGAAGAGATAAAATAGATTTTAAAAATGAACTGAGCTCCGGGGACCTGTGGAACAATAACAAAATTTCTAAGATTTCTATCACTGGAGTTGCAGAAGAGACCCAGGGGAATTGGGCTGAGGAATATTTGAATAAATCATGGCTGAAAATGTCCCAAATTTGGCAGAAAAACACAACCTAAGAATCTGAGCGCACCTCAAACAGGATACACCTTAGCAAATCTACACCAAGATACATCATGTGTAAACTTCTGAAAACAAAGGCAAAGGAAAAAAATCTTCAAAGCAGACTAAGAGAAATGATGCATTAACTACAGAGAAGTACCAATTCAAATGATAGCAGTTTCTTATCCGGAAACATGGAGACCAGAAGGCAGTGCATCTTTCAATGGCTGAAAGAAAGTATCTGTCAACAGTGACTTCTGTGTCCAGTGAAAATATCCTCCTAGGATTTCTCTCAGATGATGAAAACTGGAATTTGTAAGTAGCAGACCCACCCATTAAGATTGACTAATGGAATTTTATAAAACAGAAAGGAAAGTATAGAAGAAGGAAACTTGGAGTATCAGAAACAGAAAATAATGGAAAGAGCTGAAATATGTGTGCAAGCAATAGACCATCCTATGCCTCAACAGTTTGTAAATTATATTTGATGGTTGAAACATTATGTTAGCATCCGATACTCAAGGCAATGCTATTTAAAAGTAGGAGTCAGTAAAGGGACCTAAATGAAAGTAAGATGATTTCCACTCTTCAGCTGAAGTGTAAAATATTGATACCCATAAAATGTAATAAATCACATATGCATATTGTATTAGGCCAGGTGCAAGGGCTGATGCCTCTAATCCCAACACTTTAGGAGGTCAATGCAGGAGGATTGCATGAGGCCAGGAGTTTGAGACCAGCCTGGCCAAGATAGCAAATTCCATCCCTACAAAAAGTTAAAAATAAAAATAATAAAATAAATAAAAAAGATGGGTGTGGTGACATGCGCCTGTAGTCCCAGCTACTCAGGAGGCTGAGGCAGGAAGATGACTTTAGCACAGGAAATTGAGGGGGCAGTGAGCTGTCACTGTACCACTACACTCCAGAATGAGTGACAGAGCAAGACCCCATCTCTAAAAAATATTAAAAGTAATAATAAAAACTGCAATTACTTTTGCACCAACCTAATAACAAACAAAAACCTTACACTTAAAAAATTTATAAAGAAATCAAGATAAAATCCTAAAAAATATTTGACTAACCTCCAAGAAGGCAAGAAAAGGAAAACAGCAGAACAAAAACCAGAGTAAATAAATGGAAAACAAATAATAAAAAGGCAGATGTAAACTCTAATATGTGAATAAATACCTTAAAGGTAAAAGCAAAGAGAACCTAGATATAGACCCATACACATATGCTCTGCTGATCTTTTACAAACATGCAAAATTAGTTCAACAAGGCAAAGGACAGTATTTTCAACAAGTGATGATGGAGACATTGGATATTCATAGGCAAAAAATAAGTAAAAATAAAAAAAAAAGTATAAAATGAAGTTCAACATAAGCTTCACACTTCATATAAAAATGAATTCAAATAGATCCTAGATATAAATCTAAAACATAAAACTGTAAAACTTTTAGGAAAACACATAGGAAAATCTTTGGAATATGGATCTAGGCAGAGTTCTTTGACATCAAATCCATGATTCATAAGAAGAAAAATTGGATCTCATTAAAATTAAAATAATTTCTCTGTGTAAAATCCTAAAAAGAGGATGAGAAGACAAGCTACAGACTGAGAGAAAGTGTTTGTAAACCACATATCTGCCAAAGGACTTGTATCTAGAATACATAAAGGACCTTCAAATTCACAGGAAAAAAAACAAAAAACAAAAAACCTAAACCAAACAATCCATTTAGAAAATGGGTAAAAGGTCTAAGTAGACAATCCACTAAAGAGGATACACAGATGGCACATAAGCATATGAAAAGATGTCGCCTTCATTAGCCATTAGGGAAATGCAAATTAAAACCCCAGTGAGTTCTCACTGCACACCTATCAGAATGGCTGGAATTAAAATAGTGACATTACCAAATGCTGGCAAGGGTGTGGAGGAACAGATCAATGGTAGGTTAAACAGTCTGGCAGTTTCTTATAAAACTAAACATGTAGTTACTATATGATATAACTATTGTATTATGAAGCGTTGATCCCAGAAACATGTTTTAAAAGTATGTTCACACAAAAAATCTGTACACAAATATTCAAAGCAGCTTTATTAATAATAGCCCAAACTGAAGATAGACCAGATGCCTTCAGTGAGCAAATGGTTAAATAAAGATGGCATGTCCATACTGTGACATATGCTACTCAGCAATAAAAAGCAATGAACTATTGGTGTACTTAGCCTGGATAAGTCTCCAGTATGCTGAATGGAAAAAGCCAATCTCAAAAGGTTTCATACTGTATGATTCCATTTATATAAGAGTTTTGCAATGGCAAAATTTTAATGAGGGACAATTTTGTGTCTGTAAAGTGTTAGGCACAGGCGTAGGCAGGGAGGGAGGCTGCTGTAGTTATAAAAGAGCAACATGAGGAATGCTTGTGGTGACGATACTGTTCTATATCTTGACTGTGGTGAGGAATACATGAACCTACAGATGATAAACTTGTATAGAATTAAATACACACACATGCACACCCACACACGCAAGTCAAACGGGGGAAATCTGAATTAGATTAATAGATTGTATCAATATCAATGTCCTGGTTGTGATATTGTACTATAGTTTTGCAAGATATTACCATTAGGGAAAATTGGGTAAAAGGTAAAAGGGCTCCCTCTATATTATTACTTACAACTGCATATGAAATCTGTAATTATCTCAATAAAATTTCAATGAAATTAAAAGGAACCTCCAGAGTAGTGCCTGAGGACTCTCAGTATTAGCCTTGACCTCAGAACATCTCTAGACAAAAGTGATAGAATGAATATTACTTTATTAAGAGTTTTTCATAATATATTATCACCACTCCCTTCTCAGTAATCAGTAGTATAATATTATGTTTATAGAAAAATATCTCATGGTATGTCAATGTTTGTTGGTATTAAAATCAAATTAAAATAATTTTACACGAGAGTGCAAATGGCTGACAGATTTAACTCTTATGTTTTTGTCCCCCCAAAAAATCATATGTTGAAACCTAACCCCCACAGTGATAGTATTAAAAGGTGAGTCTTTTGGGAAGTGATTAGGTCATGAGAGCTCTGCCCTCATGAATGGGATTTTTGCCCTAATAAAAGAGGCTTGAGAGTCTTTTTACCTTTCCACCACATGAGCATTCATAGAAGGCACCTTCTGTGAGAAATGGGCAATCACCAGACGCTGAATCTGCCAGCATCTTGATCTTGGACTTCTCAGCCGCCAGAACAGTGAGGAATACATTTCTGTTGATAAATTACCCAGTCTAAGTACGGCATTTTGTTATAATAGCCTACCTGGACTAAGACGATGATGTTAATTCAAATAAATATGACTGCTCTGGGAGAAATGATTTTGGGCAATATGGCTTTATTGCTGCTGTTTCTATTCTAGGCTGCTACTCCCTCCTATAAGACACAAGGGCAGAAATCAGCAACTTCACCCTCTGTTTATGAAGGGTGCTATGCAGGGCCCAAGTATTATTATTATTATTATTACTATTTTTAAAATTTTACTTTACTCATGTTTGTTCTGGTATGTGATTCAGCTTTTTAAAAAACTTTTATTTATTTTCAGGGGTATATGTGCAAGTTGGTTCTATAGAAAAATTACAGGTCCCAGGGATTTGCTGTGCATATTATTTAATCACCCAGGTAATAAGCATAGTACCCAATAGATAGTTTTTCAATCCTCACCCTCCTTCCACTCTCTACTGTCAGGTAGGTCCCGGTGTCTATTATTCCCTTCTTTCTGGACAGAAATGTGTACTCAATGTTTAGCTCCCACTTATACATGAGAACATTCGTGATGTTTGGTTTTCTGTTCCTGCGTTAGTTCACTTAGGGTAATGGCCTCCAGCTCCATCCATGTTGCTGCAAAGGACATGATCTCACTCTTTTTTATGGCTGCATAGTATTTTGTGGTGTATATGTACCATATTTTCTTTATCCAGGCTACTGTTGATGGGCATTTAGGTTGGTTTCATGTCTTTGTTTTTGTGAATAGTGCTGCAATGAACATACATGTGCATATGTCTTTATGATAGAATTATGTATATTCCTTTGAGTATATATCCAATAATGGGGTTGCTGGGTTGAATGGTAGTTCTAAATTCTTTGAGAAATAGCCAAACTGCTTTCCACAGTGGCTCTGAACTAATTTACATTCCCACCAGCAGTGTATAAGTGTTTTTTGATTTTTCTGACTGGTGTGAGATGGTGTCTCATTGTGGTTTTGATTGGCATTTCTCTCATGATTAGTGACATTCATCATTTTTTCATGTGCTTGTTGGTCATGTATTTGTCTTCTGTTGAAAAGTCTCTGTTCATGTCCTCTGCCTACTTTTAATGGGGTTGTTTGCTTTTTCTTGTTAATTTAAATTTGTTATAGATTCTGGATATTAGACCTTTTTCAGTTTGCAAATGTTTTCTCATATTCTGCAGGCTGTCTATTTACTCTGTTGATAGTTTCTTGGGCTGTGAAGGAGCTCTTTGGTTTAAATTAGATCCCATTTGTCAATTTTTGTTTTCGTTGCAATTGCTTTTGGCATCTTCGACACAAAATTGTTGCCAGGGCCTATGTCCAGAGTGATATTTCCTGGGTTTTCTTCAGGGGTATTTACAGTTTTCGGTTTTACGTTTAAGTCTTTAATCCATTTGGAGTTTATTTTTGTATATGGTTTAAAGAAATGGTCCTGTTTCAATCTTCTGCATAGGGCTGGCCAGTTATCCTAGCACCATTTATTGAATAGGCAATCCATTCCCCATTGCTTGTTTTGTCGACTGTGTCGAAGGTCATATGGTAGTAGGTGTGTGGCTTTATTTCTGGGCTCTCTATTCGGTTCCATTGGTCTACGTGTCTATTTTGTAACAGTACCATGCTGTTTTCGTTACTGTATAGCCTTGTAGTATAGTTTGAAGTCAGGTAATGTGATGCCTCCAGCTTTGTTCTTTTGCTTAGGATTGCTTTGGCTATTCAGGCTCTTTTTTGATTCCATATGAATTTTAGAATATTTTTTTCTAATTCTCTGAAGAATGTCATTGGCAGTTTGATAAGAATAGCATCGAGTTTGTACGTTGCTTTGGGCAGTATGGCCAGTTTATCAATATTGACTCTTCCTATCCATAAGCGTGGAATATATTTCTATTTGTTTGTATCATCTCTGATTTCTTTGAGCAGTGTTTTGTAATTCTCACCATAGAGATCTTTCAACTCTCTGGTTAGCTGTATTCCTAGGTATTTTATTCTTTTTTTGTGGCTACTGTGAATGGGATTGCATTATTTATTTGGCTCTCAGCATTGATATTGTTGGTGTATAGAAATGCTACCGAATTTCATACATTGATTTTGTATCCTGAAAATTTGCTGAAGTTGTTTATTAGATCAAGGAGCTTTTGGGCAGAGGCAATAGGGTTTTCTAGGTACTAGGTATAAAATCATATCGTCTGCAAACTGAGATGGTTTGACATCTTATCTTTCTATCTGCATGTCTTTTATTTCTTTCTCTTGCCCGATTGCTCTGGCTAGGACTTCCAGTACTGTGTCGAATAGGAGTGGTGAGAATGGGCATCTTTGTCTTGTTCTTGTCCCAGTTCTCAAGGGGAATGCGTCCAGCTTTTGCTTGTTCAGTATAATATTGACTGTGGGTTTTTCATAGATGGCTCTTATTATTTTGAGATATGTGCCTTCAATGCCTAGTTTGTTGAGGGCTTTTTTTTTTTTTTTTTTTTTTTTTTTTTTGAGACGGAGTCCCTCTCTGTCGCCCAGGCTGGAGTGCAGTGGCGGGATCTCGGCTCACTGCAAGCTCCGCCTCCCGGGTTCGCACCATTCTCCTGCCTCAGCCTCCCAAGTAGCTGGGACTACAGGTGCCCGCCACTACGCCCGGCTAATTTTTTGTATTTTTAGTGGAGATGGGGTTTCACCGTTTTAGCCAGGATGGTCTCGATCTCCTGACCTCGTGATCCGCCCGCCTCGGCCTCCCAAAGTGCTGGGATTACAGGCGTGAGCCACCGCGCCCGGCCTGTTGAGGGCTTTTAACGTGAAGTGATGCTGATATTTTTTAAAAGCCTGTAATCGTGTGGTTTTTGGTTTTAGTTCTATTTATGTGATAAATCACATTTACTGATTTGCATATGTTAACCCAATTTTGCATCCCAGGGATAAAGCCTATTTGATCATGGTGGATTAGCTTTTTGATGTACTACTGAATTCAGTTTGCTAGTATTTTGTTAAGGATTTTTGTATCTGAGTTCATCAAGGATATTGGCCTGAAGTTTTCCTTTTTTATTGTGTGTTTGCCAGATTTTGGTAGCAGAATGATGCTGGCCTCACAGAATGAGTTAGGCAGAAGACCCTCCTCCTCAGATTTTTAGAATAGTTTTAGTAGGAATGGTACCATATTCCCAGGGCTATATAAGAAACAGAGTTGAATTTGGTTGAATTTGGAAACAGAGATTAAGGAATAGGCCAAAAGTGATGAATACAGGGGCATGTAATATACTTTCAGGAATCCAAAGTCCAGTTCATTGAAAAAAATGTATTTGTAAATTTCCTTTTAAATTCCAAATGAAAATTTGGGTTAACTCAGAAGAATATATGCCATCTAGGATAACAATAAATGAGCCTAACAGTCTTTAACTATCTGGTGATATGGGATTGCCTGAATCATGGTACCTCTAAACATTGCAACCCTTAAAACTCATGCTATGTGTGAATAATTAATGCCACAGGAAATACTTATGAGACATTAAATTTAAAAAAGGAATTGCATTTGTCATTTTTTCATACATTCATAATGTAAAAGTGTGTGTGTGTGTGTGTGTGTGTGTGTGTGTATGTATGTGTGCGTGTGTGTGTAAAGAAGAATATGATTGGGAGGCCGAGAGAGGCGGATTACCTGAGGTCAGGAGTTCGAGACCAGCCTGGCCAACATGGCGAAACCCCGTCTCTACTAAAAATACAAAAATTAGCCAGGCGTGGTGGCATGCCTGTAATCCCAGCTACTCGGGAGGCTGAGGCAGGAGAATTGCTTGACCCTGGGAGGCGGAGGTTGCAGTGAGCCGAGATCATGCCACTGCACTCCAGCCTGGCCGATAGAATGAGACTCTGTCTCAAAAAAAAAAAAAAAAAAAAAGAATAAGAAAAAAAGACTAGAAAAATGTATGTCAGAATTGTAACAGTGCTTTGCTTTGGGGAATGCTAGGAATGTGTGTGGGATTTAGTTTCTTTCCAATGCCATTGTGCATCTTCAGATTTCTTTATGATTTCTTTACCTTATTGTTGAAATAAAAAAAGCAATAACAATACACAATTATTTTTTAAAAGGAAGAAGTTTAAGCAAAGGGAAAACTAGCATATGACAAAATAGCTGAAACCAGAGGTAGAGCTTATAAGCCAATATGCCAAAAGACCCTGCACTTGGCCTTTTTAGTCCAAGTGATCTATATTTTAGCTGAGTTTCCTAGAAGTATATACAAGGATTCTCAGTGGTGACTAGAATGAACAGACTAGCTGTTCAGGAATCTAATGCCTACCATAGCTATTAATAGCTACCACTGGCTGTTCGTGGTGGCTCACACCTGTAATCCCAGTGCTTTGGGAGGCTAAGGCAGGAGGATCACCTGAGTCCAGGAGTGCAAGACCATCCTGAGCCACAAAGGATGTCTACAAAAATAAAAATAAAAAATATCTGGGCATGGCGAATCACATCTATAGTCCCAGCTACTTGGGTTGGTGAGGCAGAGGATCACTTGAGCCCAAGAGTTACAGGTTACAGTGAGCTATGATTGTGCCACTGCACTCCAGCCTGAGCTACAGAGTAAGATCCTGTGTCTAAAAAGAAACAAAAAAGCTACCACTAATACTGATATTTAAGAGATTTCTCCAGTATATACCCATAAAGATGAAAAACCACATCTTTTAGTGAGTGACATCCCTGTAAGACACAGGGGCAATAGCGTTCACAGGAATTAGTCTCATATCATTCTGAGACACAGATCAAAAGTTTTTCATTACTAGCAATTCTAGCAGATATAAAACCATGTGAACCAGGTGTGCAGCAGCTTTCCAGTGTTGAGTGTGAAGGATGGGTAGCTCTAATATTCCCTTTCCTGTGGCATACCTCTTTGCAGTTTGACTTTGTAGATCCTCCCATTGAGAGTTGGAGACTATTTCCTCACCCTTTAAAACTAGGCTGGGGTTGTGAGTTTCTTTGTCTGGTAAAATGTGGTAGAAGTGATGGTGTGTCATATCTGAGCTTGGTCTTCCAGTGGCCTTTTGTGTTTCTCTTTTATCCTGTGGACCCCTACGTCTGTCAAGAGAACAAGCTCAGATTATCCTGCCATCCTGCCAGAAGATGAAAGATCATGTGGAAAAGAGACGAGTCATCCTATACCATCAAGCTCCCATTTGACTTGCCAGTTGATCACAGTTGATTATCTTTTTTTTCTTTTTTTTTTTTTTTGAGACTGAGTCTTACTCTATTGCCCAGACTGGAGTACGGTGGCACGATCTCGGCTCACTGCAACCTCTGCCTCCCAAGTTCAAGCAATTCTTGTGCCTCAGCCTCCTGTGTAGCTGGGATTACAGGCGCCCGCAACCATGCCCGGCTAATTTTTGTGTTTTTAGTAGAGACAGTGTTTCACCATGTTGGCCAGGCTGGTCTTGAACTCTTAACCTGAAGCAATCCGCCCACCTCAGCCTCCCAAAGTGCTGGGATTACAGGTGTGAGCCACCGTGCCTGGCTGCACAGTTGATTATCTTATTTGCAGCCACTGAGATAAAATTTGACTCTATATCCTTAACTAACTATTAGAATAACCACAAATATGACTCTTCTGGTTAAAAAAGAACTGTTTTTTTTGGTATTTGAGCCCGTGAAGCTGCATTCAGCTGAGCTGGGCCCAGATCAGCAGAACCATTGATATGTCCCATACACACATGAGCAAAGATGAGGCTTTGCTGTATGCTGTTGAGCTTTTGTAGTTGTTTGTTATGTGGCAGTGTTGCGGTAATAGATACATGATCCATCTGGCTTCATCCTTGTAGAGAAGGAGATTGGCTATCTTTCCTTCAGGGTTCCAGTCCTGGTTCTTCCTTTAACTAGCTATGTGGCTTTAGCAAATATTTTAACATCATTAAGTGGCATATGTAAAATGGAAAAAAACTAATTTTTGTCTAACTCACAAAATTGCTAAAGTGAAGTGAAATATATGTAAATGTATTTATTATCTATACATCACAAGGTAAAATTTGATTAATCTAAAACTCTCTGCTCTGTAATAATGTACTACATTTAAGTTTTTTTCCAATGCATTTGATCTTTCAGCTACTACATAAAAGAAATAAACAAACATAAGGACTATTCTAATGCCATGCCAGTCACAGTGTTAAAATAACTTAGGCATATTTTGATACCCCTTGATATGTTTATGATGAATTTGAAATATACTAGAGAAGAAATTTTGTTTAGTTTTATAAGTGTGGCTTACAGAAGGAGACTTTAAATAAAATAAACCCAAACAAGTTTTGATTTACTCATGGACATGTTTTAGTTCGGAATGTCAAGTATGAATGTCCGTCTCCAGGGATATCAGGGTGTGAATCAGATGTGCATGTTTCACAATCCACAGGTTTCCATATGTTTTTGAAATATAGAAAAAACTTCACTAATTTAAGCTTATCAGCATTCAAAGTTATCTTATTTGCAGCCACTGAGATAAAAGTTAACTCTGTATCCTAACTAGCTTACTATTTGAATAACCACAAATATTGGTTAAAAAAGAACCAAAAATAGTTATCTTGGTTTGACTGTAAACTGCATTCTTCCATCTTGAAAATTTTGAATTTTTCTAGATTTTCAATATGTTTTTGGGGTAATAATGATATGTAATATTATAAAATTTGAAGTAATAATAATGAATGAATGAAATTAAATAAAATGGACTCCAGATACCTTCACCTAGAGACTTATGCTGTTAATTAACTTTTAGAGACTACAAACTCAGGTATCAGCCTGTGCATATATACACATAGAAAGATAATGCATAAATAGGAGTGCTTTTAGAACAACTAGAATATAGGATGCATACTAATTTAATTAACATCTTAAATTTAACTTTACTTGAAATTAAGCATAAAAAAGAAGCTGAATATAATCTAAGTGGCTGAACTCTAGCAACAATTTCACTGCAGAATAAGTTGTTTCTAAAAGATCCCTCTAAAGTTCATAAGAAATGATTATGAAGAAATTGAAGTTTACATCATTACTTATGTAACTAAAAATTTTCCTTTAACCTCTCTAATTTTGTTATGAAAGACAAAGAAATTAGATTAGGTGGGCTTCTTTTTTACTTTACCATCTCAGCCTCTGAATTTGTTAGTTATATTATTTTTATATTTTTGAGGCTTCTGCCCTGCTAGGATGCTTTGTGGCAATAATTTCTGAAATTCTTCAAACTTAATTTTATCAGATTTTATAAGAAACTTAGCAATTCAATTAAAATTGGAAATGCAAAAAGTCTTCAGTTGCATAAGAAAACCCATTCATGATAGTAGAAATGTAAATTGTAACCACACTGAGTTTCCATTTCTTACCTATCAGATTGTCAACATTTCGAAAGTTTGGCAATACCTTTATTATTATTATTATTATTATTATTATTATTATTATTATACTTTAAGTTCTGGGATACATGTGCAGAATGTGCAGGTTTGTTACATAGGTATATATGTCCCATGGTGGTTTGCTGCACCCATCAACCCGTCATCTGCATTAGGTATTTCTCCTAATGCTATCCCTCCCCTAGCCCCCCACTCCCCAACAGGCCCTGGTGTGTGATGTTCCCCTCCCTGTGTCCACGTGTTCTCACTGTTCAACCCCCACTTATGAGTGAGAACATGTGGTGTTTGGTTTTCTGTTCCTGTGTAAGTTTGCTGAGAATGATGGTTCCCAGCTTCATCCATGTCCCTGCAAAGGACATTAACTCATCCTTTTAATGTTAAGGCTGTGGGGAAACAGGCTTTATTATGCATTGCTGGGAGGAGTGTAGTTTAGTGATATCTACCAAAACTACATGTGCTTAGCTTTTGACCCAATAATTTCTTTTCTGGGCATTTATCTTTTTATATATATCTGCATGTGCACAAAAATGATGTGTTTACAAGGTTAGTCAGCTGAGCTGCTTATAACATTCTAACTTACAAAGAACCTAAGTGTCCATCAGTAAGGGACTGGTTAAATAAATTATGGAACATTCATACAGTGAAATATTTTTCAGCTAATGGGGAGCAGAAGGAAAAGGTAGAGAAGGGAAAAAGAAGAGATCTCTGTATTGATTTAGGAAGATTTCTAAGGTATGTTGATCGGTAAAATGTTCATGTCCAGAAAGTGTGTGTAAAGAGATAAGATTATATTTGTTTGTGTATATATACATATATTTATTTATTACTTATTTTATATATATAAACACTTTATATATAAACACTTTAAGGAAAATGTTTACCTTGTGTGAGAGGGGACAGGAGAGGAAGGGCACTGGGAGACTGGTAACTCTGTCTCTTTAATTTGTTTTTATTTATTTATCACTAATAATTACTTATTACAAAAAAGAATGTTAAAGCATTAAGTGGATTCATTCTGAACAGCAGTGCTTTGTCTCAGACTCCTCATTCATGACTTCTTTAATTTGATTGACTTTTTGGTTAGCTAGATTTTGCCGTCTAGTTAATTTTAAAGGAAATGAATGAATGTTCTGTTTCCTAAATTGCTGCATGAATGAGGATATCTATCAAAATTGTGTGTATCAATTCTCCCTTGAAAACCTTTAAAATCTTTTGGTCTCACTTGTTTTCTACCTCAAAACGTTGTTAGTAGTATTCCAGTGTCCTCTGGAATGAGATTGTGGCACTTTCAAAAAGTAGAGTTTTTCACCCTATACTTCGCTTTTGTTTCAGTGAATTTTTTTTGAGGTGGAAAAGGAGCTCACTAAAATGGTTTATACTTTCTGATTTTATCCCAAAGTTTGGATTTCTTTTTGGGTTATCTTTTAATGTTGCATTATTTTGTGGATTTTAGCTTTCTAACTTTCTGTTATGGAATATACTCAGGGAAGTGTTTTACATCTGGAGAGATATAATTCAAAATTTTCTCTATGTGATTATTTATACATTTTTCCTGAGTGTGTGAAATAAATTTAAGAATAATCTGAAGTTTTGTGTTTGTTTTAGTTGCATATACCTTGAAATTGATGTTAATTGATGTTGTCTTTACTTTTACTATATTGTTTAGGTTATGAATTGTGTGAGTATTCTCTAATGGAGAAGTAGGCTGTTTCATGTCTTTATTCTATATTGACTGTGACATAAGCCTTGTAGAGAAAGTTTTTCTATGTGCAGAATGTACAAAATGTCTTGCAAATCTCTGTGAGTTTGCCCCCGTGATGCTTGTTTCAGCATCATGACTGAAACAATAAAAGGAGGAACATCATCTAGTTTCTCTATTTGCCTGTGATAAGTCCAGATTCTCTGAGAAGCAGACATCATCATGGGATTAAATGTGCAAAAACCTTATTAGAGAGAAAACCTGTGCGAGTGAAAAAAGGGAGGCAGCTGGGGGCAGCTGACAGAGCCCTCAGACTGTGATGCACATTTGACCCTGAGTGAAGGAGAGAGGGAGACAAGGTTGGTTGGAAGTGTCCTGGACTGGCATGAAGTTTCAGGAAACCTGAAGGAGCATCAAAGTTCACAGTTAGAGGAGTCCCATATCTCCTAGGAACAGGCATGCCTTAATCTCTCTGTTGGCAGTAGTCATTGCTGGGAGTGCTAGATGGCCCCAGCCTAAATGGGGTGATGGCTTTCAGAACTAAGCAGGCTGAGCACCTTGGTCAGCAGAGATCCCTATAGGGATTCTTACCAGTACATCTTTCTAAAGCTTATATGGGACTCTTCTTACTTTACATTTGTTCTTGGATGACCTCATCCACTACTATGAGGTGAATTATCACCTAGTCTCAGTCTGTAGTCCTGATCACTATCTTTACCTGGCATGCCAAGCCTATTTTCCAATTGCCTTCTGTGTACTTTGCTGCCCTGCAAACCCTCAGACTCAACACCCCATGATGAACTTATGATCCTTCACCTCCCCCAGTCCCACCCTTTATTCCTGTATTAGTTTACCATGTCTCCTTTCTTCCCCTTTCCCATATTGAAAACTAGGAGTCACCTGTAGCTCTTCCTCTCCTTCACATCAAATATCCAACCAGCCACCATGTCCTTTGCATGTATCTAAAGTTCTAAACTCTGGTGCCTCCTCCCATTTCTGTTATGACAGTTCTAATTTGGTTCATAGATTCTTCTTTAGAATCACATACTTTAAGATGGAGTTTGCCACTATAGGTCCATCGTCTATTTTTTAACAGTAGTGACTGGCAGGTATCTCTCCACTTCCTAGAGTTTTCCTTGCTGATCTCATCCTCAGCCATTCTTCTGCACTTAGACTTGTAGAAAAGGTCCAGATCTGCAATGTGGATGCTGTTGGAGTGCTGGCATTTTTTCCTTCTGCTTCTCACACGGATATTATGAATGATAAATTTTTATGATGGATGAGTTCCTGACACCAGAGCCAGCAATTCCTACTCCCCATATAGTAATACAGAAAGCATGAAAAGTAGATAACTGAATCTATGAGTGCATAGGACCACTACATATTTGGTGGTGGTGGTGGTGGTGGTGTTATGTGTGACTGTGTACATATATGTATGTTAAAACTAGATATGATAAAACCTTACCACTTTATTGCTGTATGAATCAGTTATTTGTGTAACCAACAACCACAGAATCTCTGTGGCATGTAACAGTGGTTGTTATCTCTAGCTCTCTCATGCGTGGCTTGGCTGAGGTTTGGCTGATTTAGGCTGGGCTCACATAAGCTTCACGTCAAGCTTTGTCTTAGGCATTTTCTGTTCCAGGCTCAGGATGTGTATGAGGCTCTGGTCTTCCCAACATGTGTTTGTTGTGGGGCCCAGGTTTAAGAGCCAGCAGCCATGTGAAGAAGCTTCTTTTCATAGATGGCAAAATACAAGAAAGCAAGACCAATGGCACAAGTACATTTGAAATCTTTCCTTGTGTACTGTCCACTAACATTCCTTTGGCCAAAGCAAGTTACATGGCCAAGCCCAACATCAAATGGTCTAGTGGGAGGGGCTACAAAGGAAGTAGACACAGGGAAGGATGAAGTACTGGGAACAATAATGCAGTTGAACACAATTATGATGATTGCTTTCCATAAGAAGAAAATAAATAGAAAAAAAATTGGGGTTGGTTACGTGCAAATGCCTTTCCTGCTTTATGTTTAAGTCTAATTAGCAGAGGAGATGCATTTTCCTATAAAAATTAGAAACTAAAAGAGGAGCAATGTGGATTGCTAGACAGAAGTATGTTTATGACATTATTATGTGCTAATTCTTTCTTAAGAGTGGCCATCAATTTATAAACTTCCACAGTTCTTTTGGAAACTTCCTGGGAATTGTCTATTTTCGTCCATGTTTGTAATCTCTGAGCCATATAAAGAGTGAAGTGTATTGCGACGTTTTCACTTTCAAAACTATTCTTAGCCAATTTTGTTAGGGTCTTATAAAATGTGCTAAAGAGTCAAACGTTAACATATCAGCTTTGAATATATCAGGATATAGAATGTCAGAAGTTAAACTTAGAATTCTTACAGTATTGTGTAGCAGACTGCTAAAATTAGTATATGATTGATGACATTGTGATTTGATAGGTAATTCAAATATTTTGTAAGTGTTTCAGAGGAAAATATTGCTATAAAGCAACTGATTTAGAAATTGAAATGAGAAATGTCCCAAGAGGTGAATAGTTGTAATATTTATTCAAAAGTAATGTTGCCTATCCTGCTCCTGATAACCACTATTTCATTCTCTATCTCTGTACATTTGACTGTTTCCTTCTAGGATTCCGCATATAAGTGAATCATGCAATCTTTTTTTTCTGTGTCTGTGCCAGACACAGAAAATTATGCTTATTTCACTTAGCATAATGGCTTCCAAGTATTGTGTTCGAGATTTTTGCTAAGTGAATAGCTATAGCTGCTTTTGCCATTGGAGAGTTGGGGGATGGGTAACTATGTGAGATAGTGGATATGATAATTTGTTTGACTATAGTAACTATTTTAATATATATATATATATAAAACATAATATCATGTTATATACCTTAAATGTGCACAATAAAATGTATTTTAAAATATGGCCTAAATGAACATGATGTAGGGTTTCCTTTATTAGTATTAGGAAGGATTTTAATTGTGCATGTAGATATAAGACATTTCCATATGAAATTTATATAATAACAAAGATATTACACAAGGAAAATGGGTCTCTTTCACTTCTACACCTGAAATGTAGGCGGCGACACTTTTATCTAGTCATAGAAAACACAATGAACTTGTGGTTGAATGTACTCAAATTTTCTATCAAATTACAAAATTTGTCAAAACTGTAACACATTTATCATCCAAATTGTCTTAAGAAACGTGCATATGACAATGTCTTTAATTTTCAGTCACCCAAATTTTCAACAGTTGTATTATTCACAGTGAGATTCATCCAACAAATGTATATCCATTTCAACTTGGACAATTTTAAGAACTGACAACTTTCCATGTATGATATTTGTCATTCTCAGAATCCCTTAGAAACCTCAACACTTAACCATTTACCATGTTTCAAGGGAATGTTTTTCCAGGAAAAAAAATGCACAAGTGTGAAAAAGCAGGAGAAAGAGAAGTGCAGTTTTAATAGAATGTCCAAGATTTAAGGTTATGATATGAAAACTAGGTAGCATGTTCTTAGCAAGTCTTGAATTAATGGCAAACTTATGACTTCATTGATTTTCTTTACCCCATCCCCTGACATATAAATATATGAGAAATATAGCTTCCATACCAACACCTAAAGACAGATTTCTTATTCAATTTCTTTGAGAAACTAAATTCAATGGCAGATGACAGCAATACCAGTGTACTGCAGAAGTATGCTCTGCATTCCTGTGTTTTGTTCATGGTATACATTCCTAATGCCCTTTTTGTGAAACCTGGTTAATAATTAAGCAAGTCAGGATGTACGAACCACCTGAAATTCTCGGATAAGTAGTTTCTTAATATCTCTTTTTGTACTTGCTATTGAAAGTATTTAGAGTTATTTTTGCTTGATTATTTACAATTTTACACTTTCTTTATAAACTAATTTTTCCTAAATACCCTAGTGTGATTTTAAAGTTTGAAATGCCTTAACATTCTCCATCAGGGACAAGTTATGTTTTGTAGTTAGCGGCTTGATACCCACATGTAGCTCTGTGTTTATGATGGCAGAGCAAAGTGAAGATTGCAGACAATTATCTTGATGGTCAGGCCTCCAGGTCAGCTGGCTGCTGTGTTTACAGATAAAGTGAGCTGGACATTGGGAAGTCCACTGGCAACTTCTGAAATACATAATGGTCTAAATTGCCTTCTATTCTCAGGGCCCAAGCCACTTGCTAGTGTAAGTTGGCTATTTAAGGGCGAGCATTAACTCTCGTGGGTCACCAGGGAACCATTTAATAAGTAACTAGAGGCCTGGAGATGTTCACGTATTCCTCTAAATGCCCTGGTTTTGTTACTGGTGCAGTTCACTCAAGGTCATTCTGCAGCTTCAAATATTTAATGTCCTTTCTCAAGTGAATGACCGGGTCCGGTGGAGAAGCTGGCTGATTTGTTATTTGTAGTCAGCCAGTACATAGTAAGCTAATCAAGTTCATAATAATTATATTCTGGCAAGAAAAAGCTGATTAACAGATGTAGTAGGAGTTTAGAGAGGCTGAAATAAATCCGAGTTATGATAAAACAACCTCATTAGAGAAGAGTATATACATGCATAAGGATTTTGAGCTGAATACCTTTATGGTTTTTTTGTAACTTTTACTTTTGACATAATTTCTTATTTTTTATTTTTTATTTTTTAATTTTTATGGGTACATAGTAGGTTTATATATTTATGGGGTACATGACATGTTTTGATACGGGCATACAATGCGTAATGATCACATCATGGAGAACTGGGTATTCATCCTCTGAAGCATTTATCCTTTGTAGTGATATAATTTCAAACTTACAAACAATTTGTAAGATCAAGACAATGAACAACTATACATCCTTCACACAAATTCACTGATTGTTTCTCATTTTTTTCCATCTGCTACCTCATTATATCTACCAAGATATCAATCCACTTAATTTTTTTTTCCTGAACCATTTCACGGTAAGTTGCAGACAGGATAGCCCTTCACCTTAAATAATTCAGTGCATATACTCCAAGAACAAGAACATTTTTTACGTGACCACAGTGCATAATTATCAAAATCATAATGGTGCATACTACTATCCAGTTGTGGTGTATGATTTTAATATGTTATATAGAGAGAAACAAAAATGAAAATGAATGACTACTATTCCAAAATGCGAACGTGTGAGTTGCATTGGGACAGATTAGTATGCTCTGTAAAGGGGAAATTAAGCTGACTTAATTATTTAAGTCATGTATTAAGCTAAATTTCAATTATGAAATTACTGGATGATCCAAATACATATTAGATGAGGGTCAGTCACTTATTCAATAACTCATTTGCCTATTTTAGTCAATGCTCAGGTGTCTTGTTTTTCCTAATGACTTCCAAAGGTGATGATTACTGGCACTTACTCAAGCCTAACTTTCACATACCACTTGTAAAGCAGGTTTGAATAAAAGATGCAAGGAAGGTTGACTTCAATATTCAGCCATAACTGGACCTCTTGGTGTGTTGGATTTCTGGTTTTCAGTATATAATTCAGTATAAATATAGTTAGGATACAATAAAAGGCTGATCAAATATGTCTAAAGGAGAGAGTCAGTATA
Organism: Homo sapiens; assembly: GCF_000001405.40. NCBI lineage: Eukaryota > Metazoa > Chordata > Mammalia > Primates > Hominidae > Homo > Homo sapiens. Next base: position 8,192,080 of record NC_000020.11, read on the forward strand.
GTAACATAAGTAATATAGACAAGGCATACTATTTGAATTTTGGATTTTAAAAAATGTCATCCTTTTATTCAGACTTTCTAATGGTGCACTATTGCAGTGATAATTAGCAAGGTTAAAAGCCTCTTCCTGAAGACTTTAGGGAGATGCTTGCCATTAGAATAATCTGTTTATACCTATCTCATGTTTGTTTTTACAGCCTGTGTTTCAAAGAATAGTATTAAGTCTGATGGATTTTCTTGCCCGAGAAGCTAATTTAAAAAAATCGTATTCACTAGGTGAACTGCAGACTGCTAAAAGGTGGGACTAAGATGAACACTAAAGAACAACATAAAGGACAGATATCACTCACCTGTGAGGATTTGGTTAGCGATGTGGGAGGAGAGCCTTCCTGAGTATCTTAACATCAGTGCTTCTCTGAAGGCATTGGTAGATTTTTTTTTTTTTTAAGAATGCAACATCATCTGCAACCTGAAGTCAGTTCTGGAGGCAGGATGTACCTCATCCCTAAGCCAGTTATGGAGGCAAGACTGTACTCATATCACTGTACTCACATCATTTACAAGGAGTAAATGCTACATAAGTGGCACCAGTGTAAGTATCTAAGGATTCAGGGGATGGGGAGATATCTTAGAGACAAATAGAGCAGACTTAAGGAATTGGATAGGTAGAAAGGAGGGAAGAGAATAAGAAATGATGTAAATAAAAATATATAACTGCAGAGAAGCAGATAACTGTTGAGGAGTGGCCAAATATGGAGGGGGGCTAATGTGTGTGTCAGGGATTTCCAGTTTCCAGTTCTCATGAAACAGGATGGGGGCTAAAGGAGTGGTCTCTACCATCCAGTTAGTAGAACAGGATGTACATAATGAGTGGATACCTTTCAAATATTCAATTACATTCAAAATTTTGCTAAAACATTTGTTCATGCACATCTTGCCATAGTGAAGTCCAGCCCAGGAATTTCTGCCTTTGCATATGAAATGGGATATAACCAGAGACTGACAAAGAACATTCAGGATAAAGAGAACTATTAACTTGACACGTATTTTGTAGGAGATGCTGTGGGAAAATAGGCACATTCACATATTGCTGGTGGGAGTGTAAATCATTACACTACCTATAGGAGGGCAACTTGATGATAACTATCAAAATTACAAATATGCCCTTTGCCCTGAAAGTCCAGCTTCTGTAATGTATCTTACGGAATTACTTCTGTACGATGCATAAAAAGCAGAATATTAAATCCCAAACCAAATATTTGAAAATGGAAACTGGTCAAATAAACCCTGCCAGCCATAGAATACTATGCAGCTGTAAAAGAAAAAATTTTTAAAAAAAAAGGAGAAGAAAAAGAGGAGGAGGAGAAAGATGTGCTCTATGGGTTGATTTGGAAATATCCCCTAGAAAGAAGGCAAGAATAATCACATTTGCATATATTTGCATAAAGGAACTAGAAGGAGATATAAAAAACAGAATAAAAGTGTTTTGTAGTGGGTGGAAACTGGTAGATGGAGACAAGGGTGGGTGTGAAAGTCTTCACTCTGTAAAACTTTTTATACTTCATAATTTCTGAGCTGTTTCTGTACTAGTTAATGGAAAAAATGAAAAGAGAACTATTGTGTTCTTATAAGAATGGCAAGGACTGCTAATTTTCTACCCTAACATTTATTCTCCCAATTGTTTTTTATTTTAAACCAGAACATTGCCCTGTAGACTTAATGTTTCCAGCTTCTCTTGCAGCTAGGTGTGGTTGAGGTCAATGAGGTATAGTAAATGCTGTGTGGTATATCTTGGTACTTTTTAAATGGATCTGTTAAGCTATGAGGGTCTTTCTGCCTTGCTTTCTTCTTTCCAATATAGATGTGATGTTCAGAAGCTCAGCAGACATCTTGGCAATGAGGGGACCTTGATATTGGAAACCATGTGCTAAGAGGACAGAGAAAGACAGACCCATGAGTCCCGGGTGATACTATGGTGCCAACATACTGGCTGCTTCTTGGTTTCTCTTATATCCAAGAAAGAAAGCTCTACCCTGTGTACATCACACTTATTTTGATCTTTATGGTGTTGATTAGGCATTGGAGTCTAATCCAGTATTTGCCCCAAATGTAGAATACTGTTTTTCTTTAAGATCTTTTCTTTGCAAACTTTGCTTGGGCCCTCTAAGCTTGTGACTTTACTTCAAATCCAGTTCCACTTTGGGTTGATATAATTATGGCATGTGAAAAGTGTTTCTGGAGAATCATGAGATGTGACTATTATCTGGTAAAGTGTGTTGCAGTCCAAAGTGCCAATGGTGGAAAAACTCCCGTAAGTGCACCCTGTCATTTTTCTTTTTAATTTAGGTGTACAGCTGAATTTTTAATATTTCATATGCAGTTAAATTAACCATACTTCTTGTGTCAAAATAAATATGCAGAATCTCAATCATGGACTTAAAGATGCAGAAACACATTGATTTTAGGAAAAGTACATGTCTCTTTTATTACCACACATATAATTCTGGTAAAAATTATGATGAATAATAGAGAAAAAATATGGAAACATGGATGAAATTTGTTTTATAGATTTGCAGGATGCTTGCTAACATGGTGGTAGGGAGGGCTGATGTATTTTCAGTCTGACATCTGTTAATGTGACTATAATAAATAAACTGTATTTACTAAGTAAACATTCAACTTTTCTCTCAAAAAGATTTGGTAGTAAAAGAATATGTCATTGTCTCATTGCTGGAAGCCTCATACTTTTTCATATTGGATGGGGAAGGGAATTCCATTAGTGGTAGCACAAGTCCATCTGTCTTACATTAGACATTTGTCTAAACCAACTTTGCTCACTGAAAAGCAGTGTAATAACACCACTGAAGAGAGTTCTTAATAGACTGAGGAAGCAAACAAATTCAACTGGTGTTTCATAATATCTAAATTTTTAGACCTGAGATCATTTCTTTGGATTCCCTTCTACAGATTTTAATTTGCATGCCTGATTTAGCAGCCTCTTTCCCTGCTTTAAGTAGAAAGTAGAAATAATATTTTAAAACTAATTTTTACATCTTTTTTTGCATTATGGAGATGGGCTTTCCTGTGTGCTATTAGTAGAAAATCTTTTAGGAAAATAAGGAAGAAACCATGCAGAGGGACATAATTTTTCAAAAAAGGCTCAGAAGATATAGCAGTTTGTCTTTATGTTTTTCAAGTTAAGATTCTCCTATAGATATATTAAACCTAATCCCCAATGAGAGGGTATTTGGATTTGGGGCCACTGAGGGGTGATTAGGGCATGGGGGCAGAGCCCTCATAAATGGGATTAGTGCCCTTGGAAAATAGGCCCAAGAGAACTCCCTTGCCCATCAGCCAGGTGAAGACACAGCAAAAAGATGGCTTTCTATGAACCAGAAAATGGCCCTCATGTAGTGTGTCTGCATCCTCTTCATCCAACTTCCCCTAACATCTTACATGACCATAGTCCAATTTTTAAAAGCAGAAAATTAACATTGGTACAATACTGTTAAGTAAACGAGAGACCTAATTCAAACATTACCCATTTGGCAACTGATGGATTTTTTATTCTAGAATCAACTCAATTTTCCCACAGTGAATTTAATTGTTGTGACGTTATTTAGTCTTCTGAAATCTGTGACAGTTCCTTAGTCTTTCCTTGTCTTTCACATCCTTGGCACTTTTAAAAAGTATTGGTCAGTTACTTTATGCAATGTCTCTCAGTCTTGATTTGTATGATGTTTTCTCATGATTATATTGAGGTTCTGCATTTGTATTAGTCGATTCTCACACTGGTGTGAAGAAATACCTGAGACTGGGTAATTTATAAAGAAAAGAGGTTTAATTGGCTCACAGTTCTGCTTGGCTGGGGAGGCCTCTGGAAACTTACAATCATGGTGCAAGGTACCTCTTCACAGGGTGGCAGGAGCGAGAATGAGAGCAGAGTGAAGTGGGGAAAATCTCCTTTTAAAACTACAAAATCTCATGAGAACTCACTATCAAAAGAACAGCATGGGGGAACCCGCCCCATCATTCAATTGTCTCCACCTGGCCCCTCCCTTGACACATGGGGATTATGACAACTCAAGGTGAGATCTGGATGGGGACACAGAACCAAACCATATCAGCATTCTTGGCAAAAATACCACAGAAGTGATGCTGTGCCTTTCCCAGCACATTCTATCAGACAGAAAATGATATTTTGAAATACCATTTGGCAGTTGGCTCTTTGACCAATTTGCCTCTAATTCAAACTCTGTATCATTATTGAGCAAGCATTTAGTAGCTTGAAATTGTAGCTGCATATTCTCCATTTTGCTCACAAGTGTATCACATTTAGAAAGAAAGATGGGATTACTTTTATCAACTAATCTGGTGTTTTTTTCTACCTCTGTAGAAATGGAAAATAAAAGCTCAACATCTGATTATTGTAGGTGTTCTTACTAGCTGGGTTAGGAAAAGGGATAAAGATACATGTGCTGCAGTGCGTTTATAGAGGCAGGTGATGGTCAAGTATTCTTTGATGGTCAAGTACTCCTTCTGTCTAACAGCCTCAAACAAGCTCCTTTTCTTTATATATATATATAAAATATATATATTTTTAATTATACTTTAAGTTCTAGGGTACATGTGCACAACGTGCAGGTTTGTTACATACGTATACATGTGCCATGTTGGTGTGCTGCACCCATTAACTTTTCATTTACATTAGGTATATCTCCTAATGCTATCCCTACCCCCTCCCCCAACCCCACAACAGGCCCCAGTGTGTGATGTCCCCCTTCCTGTGTCCAAGTGTTCTCATTGTTCAATTCCCACCTGTGAGTGAGAACATGCGGTGTTTGGTTTTTTGTCCTTGAGATAGTTTGCTGAGAATGATGGTTTCCAGCTTCATCCATGTCCCTACAAAGGACATGAACTCATCATTTTTTACGGCTGCATAGTATTCTATGGTGTATATGTGCCACATTTTCTTAATCCTGTCTATCATTGTTGGACATTTGGGTTGGTTCCAAGTCTTTGCTATTGTGAGTAGTGCCGCAATAAACATAAGTGTACATGTGTCTTTATAGCAGCATGATTTATATTCCTTTGGGTATATACCCAGTAATGGGATGGCTGGGTCAAATGGTATTTCTAGTTCTAGATCCCTGAGGAATCGCCACACTGTCTTCCACAATGTTTGAACCAGTCCCACCAACAGTGTAAAAGTGTTCCTATTTCTCCATATCCTCTCCAGCACCTGTTGTTTCCTGACTTTTTAATGATTGCCATTCTAACTGGTGTGAGATGGTATCTCATTGTGGTTTTGATTTGCATTTCTCTGATGGCCAGTGATGATGAGCATTTTTTCATGTGTCTGTTGGCTGCATAAATGTCTTCTTTTGAGAGGTGTCTGTTCATATCCTTTGCCCACTTGTTGATGGGGTTGTTTTTTTTCTTGTAAATTTGTTTGAGTTCATTGTAGATTCTGGATATTAGCCCTTTGTCAGATGAGTAGATTGCAAAAATTTTCTGCCATTCTGTAGGTTGCCTGTTCACTCTGATAGTAGTTTCTTTTGCTGTGCAGAAACTCTTTAGTTTCATTAGATCCCATTTGTCAATTTTGGCTTTTGTTGCCATTGCTTTTGGTGTTTTAGACATGAAGTTCTTGCCCATGCCTATGTCCTGCATGGTATTGCCTAGGTTTTCTTCTAGGGTTTTTATGGTTTTAGGTCTAACATTTAAATCTTTAATCCATCTTGAATTAATTTTTGTTTAAGGTGTAAGGAAGGGATCCAGTTTCAGCTTTCTACATATGCCTAGCCAGTTTTCCCAGCACTATTTGTTAAATAGGGAATCTTTTCCCCATTTCTTGTTTTTGTCAGGTTTGTCAAAGATCAGATAGTTATAGATGTGTAGTATTATTTCTGAGGGCTCTGTTCTGTTCCATTGGTCTATATCTCTATTTTGGTAAGAGTACCATGCTGTTTTGGTTACTGTAGCCTTGTAGTATAGTTTGAAGTCAGGTAGTGTGATGCCTCCAGCTTTGTTCTTTTGGCTTAAGATTGACTTGACAATGCGGGCTCTTTTTTCGTTCCATATGAACTTTAAAGTAGTTTTTTCCAATTCTGTGAAGAAAGTCATTGGTAGCTTGATGGGGATGGCATTGAATCTATAAATTACCTTGGGCAGTATGGCCATTTTCACAATATTGATTCTTCCTATCCATGAGCGTGGAATGTTCTTCCATTTGTTTGTGTCCTCTTTTATTTCGCTGAGCAGTGGTTTGTAGTTCTCCTTGAAGAAGTCCTTCACATCCCTTGTAAGTTGGATTCCTAGCTATTTTCTGTAGAACCTCTTCTCCATTCAAGGTTGCAGAAGTCTGTGACAACCAAGGAAAAGAGACAGCAATGGGGCTCTCTTACCTGTGCCTAGGAAGAATCTTACCTAGTATCTTCTTCTGCTAGGAAGAGAGAACAGATGTATAGGATGAAGTATCTCACCTTTTGGGATCTTTTTTTAAAATAATCTCAGACCATGTAAACTCCAGCCATCAAGGGAAATGTGCTGATTCCCACAGACCGTATTTCTTTTCTTTTTTTTATATTGCCTCAGAAAGAGAATGCATGGAACTGCTGCTGCTTCAAACTAGATATCTGACACTAGTGCTAATGGCTGGTTTCTCAGCTAATCCACCTGTCCTTCACTTCTGAAGAACTGAATGATAGTCTTTGTATTTCCAACTACAATTACAAATTACATGAAGCAAGAACAAATTTTTAGTTTTATGATTATGTGGTAAGCATTTCAATAAAGCTCCACAAATGATGGAAAGTGTGAAGGAGAGAAAGAGGGAGAGAGAGAAAGACACACACACAGACAGACAGACAGACACACACACACACACACACGGACCCATTACCCATTATCTGGACAGAAACATCTTAATTTGCGGGAACATTAAAAATTTTTTTTCTATGTGGCTATACATAATTATTTATAAATCTACAATTTTATTTACCAAAAGTGTGTGTGTGTGTATAGTGTATACTTGCTTTTAATAATAGATATATTTTCCTTGACAATGAACATTGAGCAAATATTATCATTTTTAAAGGCTGGACAGTAGCCCCTTCTGTGGATGATCTGTACCTGATTTAAAAGGTCTCACATTGATGGAAATTTCGCCATTGTCGGCAGCGCTGTAGTGGACATCCTTGCATGTTGATTGTGCATTCTACTCAGATGTTTCCCTTTGGGTAAAAGCCTAGAATTGGAATTATTAAGTCAAGTATATAAAAAATTGAGTCTTATTGCATATAGTTAAATTGTCTCTCAGAATAAAACTGCTCCAATTTCAACTTCCACCATGAATGTATGAATGTGCCTATTGCCATGAATGTTTGCCGAAATAAATCTTTGGCAATATCAAAATATATCCATGTAGCCTCTATTTTATTTCTTTATTTTGAAGTTGAGCCTCCTTGCCTAAGTTATTTTTCCTATTATTTCAACCTTATTTGGTGATTTGTTGCTTATATTTTAATTAGTTTGTATGTGAGATTCTTAATGATTTTATATATTAAGGATCTTAATGATTTTTCAGTAACTGCAAATAATTTTTCTAGTTTATAACTTATCTTTTAACTTTATTTGCTTAAAATATTACTTCTGAAATAATTAAAAATAAACTACATAATGAAGATCTTTGTACGTACTAATATTTAATATGTGATAATGCAACAAGTATTTGTGAATATTGTAATAGGTAATATCTTAAGCATTTACAAATGTTAACTTATTTTATCCTCATAAAATTATTTAAGGTGTATCCTGATACTAAGTCGATTCTACAGTGAGCATACTTAGGCACAGAGAGGTTGAATATACTGCCTAAGTTTACATAGGACCAAGTGGAGAAACTGAATTCAAAGCCAGGCAATTACCTTTAGAGTTCTTGTTCTTGCCACTGCATTTTATAATTGGTTAAAAAAATATTTATTTATTCCGGATATTAATTCATTGTCACTCATTTGCATTACTAATATCTTCTCCCTCTTGGAAGTCTCTCTTTTAATTTTGTTTATGCTATATTTTGATATACACAAGTATGTCATAGCCATTATATGATTATAATAATGTGATCAGCCTTATCAATATTTTTCTTCCTGGGTATTGTTTTTGCAGCATACTAGAAAATCCATTGTTACTCTTATGCCATGAAATAGGCCTTAATATTTTCTTCCAAAAATCTTGAATTTTCATTTTTAACATTCAGAGCTTTAATCTACCTGGAGTCAATTTCTATGTTTGGTATGATAGGAACTGAATTATACCTCTTTTGTTATAGAAAATGTGTACCATCAGCAATATTTATCAATGTAACTAACTTTATTAAGTCCTTGAACTTCCCATTTTATTTCTATGTGCTTTCAAAATTTTATTATTACAGAGAATGAAATTGTTTTATTGCCTTTCAAAATTGGTTATTCTTGTGTATAGGAATGCTATTGGAGCTTAGAATATTGATCTAGTAACCCAGTAACCTTGCTTAACAATCTTTTGAATTTTAATAGTTTTTTTCTGAAGATCCTCTTGGATTTTCTATGTAGAAAATTCATAATCTATACATCACCACACACTTTTCCAACTGTTTTACCATTTTATATTTTTCTCATCTCCTTGAATTATCTTGGGCCTCTGATAAAATACTGAATAAAAGCAGTATTTATCTGGATCCGTGTATTTTCTCTGATCTTACAGGGAAGGCTTCTTGTGTTTTAATATTAAGCATAATATCAGCTTTAGATTTGTAGAAGATATTTCTTAACAGATTAAGATCTGTTCCCTTTTATGTCTGATTCGCTGAAGGATTTAGAAAAATTATACATAGGCTAAGTTTTGTCAAATGACTTCTCTGCATATAATAAAATAAGCTTTTCTCCTCTGCTGCAAACTTCTTGCTAATATTTTATTTTGCATCTATATTTGTAAGGCAGGCCCACCTAGGATTATTATTTCTCAGACTTTTCTTGTTCAATATCAAGATAATACCACTTCATAGAATAAGTTAGAATAATTGTCTTATTTATTTGGGTTTCTTTAGTTAGTTATTTAAGCTTTGTTATGTTCCCAGTTCTTCTCAGCCATTTACTACTAGTTTCTGTCTTGTGTGTTTTATTTATTAAAAAAGGACCCCCCTCCAGCAATAGTATAAAAATAATCACCTCTGTTTTTCTTATATTTTGAAATATTGTGGGTTTTTTTAACCTTTAAATCTTAAATAGATAACTTAGAATTGGCCTCTCCATGTATGTAATCAAAATAGGGTTATACAATTCTTATTTTAAAGCCAGAGGAAAAAAATCCAAAAATTTTTTTAGCAAAAACTTCAAATGGATTCTTCATGATGACAGCTGGGGTGCCCAAGAGAACTGCTATTGGTTTCAGGTTTAAAATAAACCTGAATCTCTACGTAATTCAACATTATGATTTGGTACTTAATGCAAAAGTAAGCCTTCAACTCAACATATAACTGGAGAAGAAAAATTTAATTCCAGAAGCTTTCCATCTCATATAGGTTATTACTCTGCCAGAGTAAGGATTTACTTTCTCAAGCAGTTGGAATTCCCAAGCATACTGAAGCAAGTTATAGATAGCCTGAAAAGCAATGTGAAAAGCAATGCTTCATCTCTGAAGCAAAATTTCCTTTCAGCTTTACAATCAATGATGCTATCAGTGACATGGTTTTTAAATTCTCGTTGAGAAAATTTAAAGGAAAATGTTAACTTTTTAAATGAGCAGACATGAAGAACACAGTTTACCTACAACATGAATGAAGAAGTATAGAGTTATTGCCTGTGTTGGGTTTTGTAGATCCTTCTTGATTCCTGCTTATATTTAATAGAGATGTCAGAATGAAAATGTCCAACATGGTTAATATTAATCTTATTCCTCAGCCAGTATATTCAGGAAGGCAGTATAGTTATTTTATAATGTTGTTCTTTTGTTTGTGTATTTTGTTGTTGTTGTTTTGAGACAGTGTCTCACTCTGTCGCCCAGACTGGAGGGCAGTGGTGCATCTCTGCTCATTGCAAACTCCGCCTCCTGGGTTCATGCAATTCTCATGCCTCAGCCTTGTGTGGTAGCTGGAATTACAGGCATGCGCACCATGCCCAGCTAATTTTTGTAATTTTAGTAGTGATGGGGTTTCCCATGTTGGCTAGGCTGGTCTCCAGCTCCTGGCTTCAAGTGATCCGCTTACCTCCGCCTCCCAAAGTGCTGGATTACAGGCGTCAGCCACTGCGCACAGCCTATAATGTTTTTTTTACAGCATTTATTTCTTGGCTTACTTTTTATTCCTGTTAATGTTGATATTGTACCATTTGGAAATTCAGCTATTTTATGTGTACACACATATGTGGGCACTTTCTACTTAGTCTGTTTCTACAGTGATATCTATCTTTCTGTGGATATTTATGACAGATAGGCAGACATTCAAATGCAGAATACATCAAGGTATTTGTTGGACTAGATAATATCAATATCACATGGAATAGGTTTGCTTGCTTGTTTATTTAATTCAATCGCATATGTTGAGAGTACAGTGTGTGCCAGGCAATGCATTGTGTTCTGGGATCCCACACAGGGATAAAGACCTCATAATGGTGGGAGGTAGATGGTTTGCCTGCAATAATCACATCAGACAATATGTTGACTGATAGTCCAGTGTCATCAACAATGTGTCGAGGGAGCACAGGGATGGAAATAATTTGTTTTGCAGGGACTTGAGGGTGAATGTGGGAGCAGAGATGAGGAAGAACACGCAGAGAAAGTAGAATTTGGTCTAGGCCTTGAAGAGAGTTGTATTTCATATGAGGGGGAGCGAGTCAAAACACTGAATCACCAGGGTACTTTGCTTCTTTAGTGAATGGGAAATATTATAGTGCACGTGGCAAGTAGTGAGTAGTGATTACGGAGCAGGAAAGTTTAAGCTGGAAGAGCTCAGTCATTCTGGGTTGTATGCACACACACGCGCACACACACACACACACGTACACACACAGAGGCAGTGGCATGGAGGATCATTTGGAAGCTGGAGAAAGTAAAAATCACTAGAGTTGAGGATACAGATGAGAATCTGAGCAATGGGAGTAGTCTGAACAATAGGAACGTGGGACCGACATAAGAAAGGGATGGAATTGATGACAAATTTAATGTGGGAAATAAGGAAGAGGAAGAAGCAAAGATGATATGGAAGGGTCTAGCTTGTGTGACCAGATGGAAAGTGACTCATTAATGGAAGAGTATTAGGATGGAGAAATTGTTTTATTTTTAAAATAATTTCCAGTGTAGTGATGAAAAGAAAAAGTTACTGAATTTTATTTTGAACATACTGAGTTTGAGGAGCCTGCTTAACTATTTAGGTGGAAATGTCACTTTACCTAAGGAAAATGAGTTTGGGCTCTGAAAAGAGAGAAGTACATGTCACCAGGCCGGGGGTGGGGTGGGGGATGATTGAAGCCAAGGGAGGAGATGTGCTTGTTCAGGGAGAGATGCACAGACAAATCAGGTTCCTGAAAAACAGAAACATTTAATGCATGATGGGAGGGATCTATTGTCTTGCTGAAGAATGATAAGTGAGATGCAGGGAGAAAACTTGGAGGACACTTTATTGAAAATTAAAGGACAAATGTTTCTGGAGGGAAGAGGCAACAAAATAATAGATGGAGATTTTTTAATACGTGCCTTAGTGTTCTTGCCCTTGAATTGGTACAACCCTGAAGCACATTGCATACAGTCTTCCAGAATCCCCTGCAGGATTCAGCCCCAGTTGCCCATAGTGAAGGACTTGTACTTTATAACACCTTTCATTGCCTTCCATCCCTTCTCTGTCTCACTTCTCAACTTCCCTCTTGGTGCCTTCTGGGGTCACCTCAGGATAACCTACTTGCAACCAAATCCTTGCATCAGGATCTACTTCTGGGAGACAAAATACCTAAGACAAAATAGAATTTTGGTTTCTTTCTTCCTAAGAATGGACTGGAATGGGTTAGAAGGAAGATGAACTGTGGAAAGAGAGAGCTAAGAATGACAGGGTGGGGAAATAATTGAATACGTAGTCCGGTGTCATGAGCAATGTGTCAAGGGAGCAGAGGGATGGAAATAATTTGTTAAATTATTAACAACTAAATAATTGGAGTTGGAGGATTAGGGGCTTTTCCTCTCTGGAGAAACACAGGAAAAGATTGGAGTGAAGGCACATAATGTTAGTGGTGTGATCATTCTTGATCATTCATCCTGTCATTTCTCATAGAAGGAGACAGAATTGTTTACTGAACTCAGGCATCTTCATAAGCACCCTAGGTGATATAGTTTGGATGTTTGTCCTGGGCTCCAATCTCGGGTTGAATTGTAATCCCCAGTGCTGGAGATGGGGCCTGGTGGAAAGTGTTTGGCTCATGGGGGCAGATCCCTCATGGCTTGGTGTTGTCTTTGTGGCACCTCCTTCCACCCAACCTTGCTCCCACCATGTGAGATGCTGGCTTCCCCTTTTGCTTTCCACCATGATTGAAAGCTCCCTGAGGCTTCCCCAGAAGCCAAGCAGATGCTGGCACATGCTTCGGGTACGGCCTGCAGAACCGTGAGCCAATTAAGCCTCTTTTCTTTATAAAATACCCAGTCTCAGGTATTTCTTTATAGCAATGCAAGAACAGCCTAATACACTGGGATAGTCCATTCATTCTAAGTCTGTTGTTATTCAACAAATATTTATAAATCATATCCTATGTGTCACACCTATGATTTTCTGCCTTAAATAATAGGGTTCCCTTTCATCATTTTTTTTCCTTGCCACTTATTTGACAATACTGGTTGCTTCTGCTTTCTGACATTGAATTCAGTTAATCTTATTCTGCTTTTGCCATCTGTGATAATAAGTTATTATCCTAGAAATATGTTTTGAATTTAAACTGAATATCCATCTTGAAGTTGCCTTAAATTCTTTATGATAAAATCCATTTAGCATAATAATCCGAAAAGACAGAGTGAAAAAAACATTATTTAAAATAGTTGATTTAATGTTGTTATGAAATATAACAGGACTCTTGAAAAGGTGATTAATATTCTTACACATGTTGAAACAGAACAATATGAGTTTTTTCTTATCTACTTTTCTTATCTGGTCTTCTCTGGCTTCTAACTTTATTAGCATTCGTATATTTTATTAATTAAAAGTCTTCTTGATATACATTCTGTGAAATACTTATACAAAAACAAATATCAAACCTGAAATTCTTCAAGCTTCTCGATCCAGCTACTGATTTATTGAAAACACTGAGAAGAGAAATGTATGATTAAATGATGTAGGATGAAATTTGTCCATACTATACTATAGGAAGTAGGAAAATCTTCAGGACAATCAATCTGGTTTAGTCAACAAATAAATTCCAAGAAAAAAATAAGACAGAAGGGGAAACAATAGTTTAGAACACATACAGCTCATCTTAAACAATTCCAATGTATGGCTTTCATTTAGATTGGGATTTTTAAAATTATGGCACTTGTGAGATAATTTGAATATTGAGTATTTGATGATATTTAGGAATTACTATTAATTTGCTTTAGGTATTTTAGTTATTTGCAAAAGAGGGAAACTACACCGTTAGAGATACATTCTGAATTATTTACAGGTATAATTATATGATATCTGGGACTGGATTAAAGTAGAATAGGGGCATGGGAGAAGGGGTTGGGGTTGGATAGGATGACCACGAATGAATGGTTTTTGAGGCTGGTTTATGGCTTTGAGTGTGCATTATACTATTAAGTTTACTTTTGTGTATATTCAAAATTATCCATGATAAAAATGGAAAAAATTAAATTAATATATAGGTAGATCATCCTCAGTGTATGAATAAATTATAGTTTATTTTTTCCAATAAAAACTTTGTTATGTAATAGCATGGTTTCTTAAATTCACCTGTTCGATAGAAATAAGGTTAAACAAGTTCAAGAATCAACTAACATCCTCCTACAGTAAGCTTCATTGCAAATCCAGTTTTGACCTTTGCTCAAAGAAGAGAATGAGAAAATAACACATTTGTGTGTGCTCTTTTCCTGACCTATGACTTGTATAGATGTTAGCACAGTGGCTTTGGTTTTAAGGTAAACATTCTTTCAGCATTTCTCATCCTTCTCCCATTTTCCTGCATTTCTCATCCTTCTCCCACCTTCTTGGTATTTTAATCATTTATGTATTGTGAACATTTTAGATAAGATGTAAAAGTCTTATATAGTGCCCCTCAGTTAAATTTGCTTAGTTTCAGAGCTGTGGGATTCAATAAAATGAGACAGGAATTATGGGTAACCTCATAAAGGAGTATGAAGGCATTGTTATCGTTGCTACCTTTTTGAAGGAAATATGCCCTCACTCTGACTTGGAAATTAATAGTCTTTCATATAATAATTTGATAAATTTAGTAAAATTCATTTTTGGACCTGCATCTAGATTTGCTTCTGCCACAACTAATGTGAAATATAAAATAAATACTTACTATATTTTAGCTAACATACTTTTTCATTATTTTTATTCCTAAGAATGGTAAATACTAAGAATTATCTAAATTGCTGTGCTGAATCATATAAATGTATCCCAAGAAAATATTTCAAAAAAAGAAAACATGCACAAAGATAGTCATTATAAAGGATAACAAAGTCAGCAGAAAAAAAAAAGATTGTCATTATAGTATTTTCAGGACTAAAACAATTAGACATGAATCAAATGATAAAAAGTTTCAAAAAGTAAATACATAAATCATGATATTTCAGCAACAGGAATTATTGAAGTACCATGAGAAATAAATTTTTAAAATGCAACAATATGGAAATATTGAGATGTAAAATTAGGGAAAAATACAAGGAGAATAAAAATTGTGCCTTCACTCTGATATAAATATGTAAAATATGTTAGTTTATAGACAAAAGACTGTAAGAGGATGTTCAAAAATGAAGCCAGATGTTGCATTATAGTGTTGGTATTAAGGATGAGTTATTTTTCCTTTAAATTCTCTTCTGCTGTTATATGATATTTATAAAATTTTAAAAGTGCAGAAAACAAAAAAAATTCTGCCATGAAAAACTCTAATTATATTGAAAATACCATCCTACAGGGAAGAAAGTGCAAGATTACTTTTAAGTTAGCTCTAATAAATACAGTGAATGATTTGCAATGAACTGCCACATATTTTAAAGTCTAGTTTATATTATACGGAACAATGCAGAGAATCTCCTCTCTGTCCTTCTTAAACAGAAAGGAAAAGTGCTGTTATAAATCTTACACCCTTAAAGAAGCATGGCATCACTATGAAGATAAGCTTCACCTAATGTCCAGTACAGTGCTGGACCCAGGTGGGTACTTACCAAACACTGTGGAAAGTCTGAAGGGATGCTGGTGAGTGCCTCCCAGAGGTGGTATTTTCTTTTCCATTGCCCCATTTTGTTCCTCTATAATATTATTTTGCTTTTTTAATTTTTTTAAGACACGAGATCTTGGTCTGTCACCCAGGCTGGTGTGAAGTGGCATGATCACAGGTCACTGCAGCCTCAAACTCTTGGGTTCAAGGAATTCTCCCACCTCAGACTCCTGAGTAGCTGAAACTAGAGTCATGCACCACAACGCCCAACTAATTTTTTAATATTTAGTAGAGACAAGGTCTCACTCTGTTGTCCAGGCTGATCTCAAATTTCTGGGCTCAAGTGATCATCCCATCTGGGCCACCCAAAGCACTGGGATTACAGGCATGAGCCACCTGCCTGGCTAAGTTCTTGTTTCAATAACTGCCTCCTTTCTCCTCCTGCAGCTTTTAAATTGTAGATAAATATTTTCAGGTGCTAACCTAGAGTCTTACTCTTCCATGTTCATATGGGGTATCTGCATGCTGGGGGAAGGAAGAGGTTGAGGAGGGAATTGGCCTTTTGCTGGGGGTTTAGTGCACTGGAAGGCATTTTTAGAACATCTGGAGATTTGCTTCCTTTTGTCAGAATCCCAAAGACTAGACAGATATTTGAACCACACCGTAGATAACTGTTTTGATTTTTTCTTTTTCTCTTTTTTTCAGAGACATCATAGGTCCTATTCTGGGGCCCCAGTGAATTGTTCCATAGACTTTAAGAAATTCTTGGGCTGTTGGATGGGAAGGCAAAACCATGTAACTGGATGGAGTGATTCTTAACTTATTTCTTTTCACTCTACAGTTAAGCTAAAATTAGAAACTCTGAAAAGCTGGCTGCTTTTAAAAGGAGATAATGGACACAACCTTTGAGAAGGGCTGGTGATGGAAGGGGAAGGGAGGAGGCGGTCATTTTCCCATACATCAATAAACCATAGACATGCTTGGTTCATTCCACCACTAGGTTATTGCTGCTGGGAAGCAAATATTATCCTGTCTCTTGTTTATGGAGTAGGTTTTTTTTTCAAATTAATTAAAGGGTTTATCATCTCACTAAACACACAGATGTCTTAATAAAATGTAGAGCTATGTTTAGTATCATGGCATCTGTTTCCTAGATGTCATGTGGAGTGCTCTTGGAATATAAAAATATGGTCCCTGCCCCAAGGAGTTTGTATATGCTTTTTGGTGCACATACACAAACATAAGAAAATGGGCAAGTCAAATTATAGATGAGGATGATAGTGATTTTTTTTCACATTTCATGAGATTATTGAATATAATTTCATAAAAATGAGAATACCCTTTCAGATAAAAGTGTGCAAAATATTTTATTTATGAATGTAAATTTTTCCATCCAAAGCCACTGATCAATTAGTTAAGTAAAATAGAAAGCGGAAGAAATTTTTGTTCTGAATGATATTAAAATTTTTCTCAGTTTTTGTCTTGGCTCTCTTAAAAGTAAAGATTATAATCAGATAGTCAAGATGGTATTAATGTGTTTGTTTCTAAAAATGCTTTGCAGGCAGTTATCTTTGAAGAGGATGATTAATAGTGGTAGAGATAACATTAAAGAAAAACTGGTTCTATGGATTGTACAGATGGTCTTCAAGGGGTGGCCGTCCTGACCACAGGAACTCTGGCTGCTATTTTAATTAAACTTGAGGGCAGAAGAAAAGAAACTGTTTTTTGTTTTTTTTTTCTAAGTAAGTAAGTATTGAGGTTACACAATGTGTTTAACCTCGGGGTTTGTCAACAATTGTAGAAAAACTGAACAGTTTACAAGAACAAGCCAGTTTGCAGTTTTTCAGTTCAGTAACCAAATGACTTTCCTATTGTAAGTGAAAGTGGGAAACAGCTTTTCTTAGCAAATGTAGACTTTGTTCTTAGAGGAGTTAGTTATTGTCTTCAAACAATTGGTATTGTAAAATGTGACTTAGGAACAGAAAAGAAGTGTGTAATCTTATGGTAATTTTATTGTGATGTGTTACATTGTTTTAAAATGTTATTTTATTTCCTTAAACTTATTTGTTTTTCTTTTTTTAAATTATAAAAGTAGTACTTGCTGGTTGAAAATATTAGATGATTTTCAATTCCGGCATCATAATTTCTGTTGGGAAAGAAGAACTAAATAATACAGAAGTATGTGAAACAAAAAGGAGTTTCTCTCTTCATTCCCTGATCCACCCAGTGGTCATGCTTGTGATCAATTTGATATGTCACTATATAGAACATTTTATTCTAAGTAGAGGCAAACATACTGACATAGAAAATCATCATATATAACATGCACAAGTGTTCATCCCAGCCCTGTCCTATTTAAGTGCTTTTATACACTTTAGCCACTTCAATTTTACTCACTCTGTTACCCATGCTAGAGTGCAGTGGAGCGATCCTAGCTCTATATAACATTGAACTGCTGGGCACAAGTGATCCTCCCACCTTAGCTTTCCAAGCAGCTAAGGCCACAGGCTTGTGCCACTACACCTGGCTGATTTTTAACTATTTTGTAGAGATGGGGTATTATTATGTTGTCCGGGCTTGTCTTGCACTCCTGGCCTGAGCCACCGAGCCCAACTTTATAAATATTTTTAATGTGAAAAGTGTAACTTTACTGGAAATATATCTCTTAATAAGATAAATGAGACCATCTTTTCAAAAAATTATTTCATGTGTCTGGGGTGAAAATTATTATTACTAAAATGAAATAAGCATTAATATCAATAGTATTTCTCTTTTTCTTTTTCATAAATGTACATGCTGAAAATAATGCTCACATAAATAAATGGGTGGTAATGGAAGTCTGTTTTATAGTCATGCCTCTCCAATCTTTGAACTCCTAAGTTATATGCCAAAAAACATCATCAGTGCTTTGTCACCAAAAGCCATTTTATTAATCTGTTGATGGAAGACTTAAGTAGGCTTACCTTTAAATTCATTAAATCTGAGAAATTGGAAACAACCTGACTTGTAGGAGGATTTATTTACCAGCATTGGAGTCTTTTACTTTCTCAATTTGGGGCAAGGGATCAAAGGATCATTCTCTGTATCAGTTACTTTTTCACATAGCAGAATCATGTAAAACTTAGAAAGGTTCAGAATATTGGTAATTTCAGTACACTTTTGCTCATGTAATTTTTTTTAAGGAAAGCTTTTATCTGAAGTTTATGGGTATTCAATCCTTGGAGTTGTAGTTTTAATTCATTCAATTCAATTCATGGGAAATGTTATTTACATATAATCTAATTGGAGAACTCAGCCCTCAATGTCAGACAAACTCTGATTTCATTTCTTAGTTCAAGTGAACATGTTAATATGTACTGCAATGATCTTCATTTCATTTCTGAAATTTTGAATTGAGATAGAAGAGGCACAAGGCTTGGTGATGTGACACTCTGCTGCTGTCAAGGTGTCTTCCAACTCATTCCCATTTGTCCTCCTGGGACTATCCCTCAGGATGGATGCATGCATTCTCAATAGCAGGGATAAAGAGGCAAGATTATTTAATGAAAACTGTTAGCTCTACCACTGCCTCACTCTATAACCTGTCTGCACTCTGAGCGTGTGTATGATGCAGGGAAAACCAAAGCACCTTTATATGCTTATGGTGCCTTGGATGGAAGAAACTTATTACATCCCTTTGTTTGGTGCCCCAGAGGATTCTACTTCCTGAGATTATGCCCCTTAGCAAGATTCTGGTTGGATGAGAGACTTGGCTTTATTTTTTAAGGGATGAGAAGGACACCAGTTTAGGGTGGATAAGAAAGGAGCAGGAGTAGCCAGCAGTGCCACAGACATCTCAGACTTATCAGACTTGGGAAAGTTGAAAACCTACCGGAATTTCATTCACTTAAAACTCTCCACGCCCATGTTTCTCTTGAAAAATCTTTATGTATACTTCTATCTCTATTTGCATAACACCATTTTAGACCATTTACATGGAAGTGTTTGTTGGCTACTATGAGAAAAATGCCAGTGATGAGCATTTACAAATTTTACTGAATTTGGACTTTTAGGTTCTCTACATATAATTACATTCAAATGAAGTTGTAGGGATATAGATTGGTCTATATAAATCTTCAGAGAAAGGAGAGGATGCAGAATGATGGATATTGATGATGAAGTAAGATAGGAACATATAGACTGTGTTGTTTTGAGTTGCCGAGATTCCTTAAATTTTACTTAGTTTTGTGTTTTAGAGCAGAAGATGTATTCATTTCAATTTCTCTTAACATCTATTGCAGTTCTTTTGTGAATTATGATTGGAACAGATTGCAAAATCTCCCAGTGTATCAGTTTTCCTAAAATAAATCATTAAAAGCAGTTCATTATCTATAAATCTTTCCTGGGTTAAAATAAAAATCTGCTTTCTAGGTCAATCTTCATTAAGCTATTAATATCCTTTTCATATTATAAGCCTTTTAATTTCTTTTATTAGCAACTGAAAGTAGCTGAAATATGAATGTCATTGTTTTGAATATTAATTGATGTTTGAATTATTTTTAGTAATTATGCTCCGACGTCAGTGAACTTCATTCCAGCCCACCCAGGGACAAGGAACTTCTCCAATATATTTATATTTACTGAACTGTATTTATATTTGTATATTTGTATTTTACTTCTTGTGATAGATGTTCCTAGTTTCTATGATTTTTATTGCAGTAAAATTCAAGAATTGTCACAAGGGTGATTCATTAGTGGTACATTAGAAAAGCCTGATTTTTGTTTTGCTTTATTTTCAAGCAAATCAAAACTTCTTCAGCATAAATACATGAGAACTCAATTTCCTAAGTCTAGAACAGCATTTGAATTTTTAGCTCATCATAGTAATTGTTCAATTTTTTCCAGAATTACTATCTAACCATTTTGTATGCATTTTATTCTAAATACAATTGACATCAAGAAAATACGGTGGGTGAAAAGAGCCCTGGAGTAAGATTCTGACAGGAGACTTCCTCTTTCTGCTCTGTGACCTTTTTCAAGTAAACATGTCTCTGAGTCACTTTGTTACCATTTATAAAATGAAATGGTTTAGTCATAGTGATTCTTCTTAATTGTTACTGAGATTTATAATTTTAAAAGCAATATAAAATTAGAGAAAACACAAGCCACGTAGGCATACAAAACGCAAAAGATGAAACATCTCTACAACTTCAGACCTTGGCCAAAAGCATTGTTCACTGCTGATGGCTGAATGATATACCCTTGCATGAGTATGCCATTATTTATTTGCCTCTCGAAGGACATTTAGAGCACTTTGAAGTTCCAGTTGCACTCCACATGCAGAGACTCCCAAAGAACATTCTACTACATATTTTAGAATTTACATGTGAAAATGCAGAATCAAAGTATGTGAACATTTAAATTTTCACCTTCGTTACCATGAAAGCTATATCAAAAGTTGACATTGTAGATTTTTTTTTTCTTTGCAAATCTGTATGAAGGAAAACAAAGTTTCTTCCTTCCTGAGTTCTCTTCCTCCACTCCTGTCTTTGTGAATGGCCACTTCATTCAAGCCTCTTCAGGTACCTTTGAGATTGCACACCATGTTTCCTTCTGAGTCTTCACAACTCTATTGTCTCAAAGCTTGATGGTGACAAAAAGTGTGTTCACTAATTCATCCAAGAATTTTGGGGGCCTGGTGTTACCCTGAAGGCTAAAGTGGTAAACAAGAGCATTATGTTTCATAGTTGCTTTTGTGAAGCTTAAGGTCTAGTGGATCAAGAAAAAAATGTCCATTAGATAATGGCAGGAATGCCTGTGCTTTTCCAAAATGCGAAGGGTGAATACAGAAGGACATGATTCAGTCTGATGGTGGCTGGCAGTGACCAGGGTCTTCAGGGAAAAGCTCACTGGGAAGTGATCTTAGCTCCAAAGGTGAGTAAGAACTAATTATCCAAAGTAATGGGGGTAGGAAGTGGGCTGGGAGGAAGAGCTTTGAAATCAGAGACATACAAAGGCCCTGCAGCAGGAGGTAGCAGAGCAAGTTAGAGTTGTTGAAGTTATAAGGCCCAGTGGCTGAGCCCAGAACACAAGGTGAAGTTTGGTCAAAGGTAAAGCCAGAACAGGGGTCAGAATAAAGCTTGCTCTGTTGTGCATTTTTTGTTACATCTGAAATGCAATAAGAAGCCAATGAAGAATTTAAGCAAGGTGGAAATAAGGGAAATGGTGGTGGTGGTGGTGGTGTGTGTGTGTGTGTCTTCATAAGAGTAACATGATTAAGTTTGCATTATCACAAATTGTCATGAAATATAAAAAGAATGCTTAGAATTTAAAAATTAGATCTTGCTTATCTTGTATGACTTGTAAGCAGATTGTAAGCATGTAAGCAGATTGTTCATGATTCTTTTGGAGGAAGTTCTCCCCAGTAATGCGGTTACTTTCCAGCATTTAGCAAGGAAATACAAATAACGTCATTTTCCGACAGGGCAGAGAGTCCTAGTCTAATTTAGTGTCACAACTAGCAGTTCTGTTATACTTTAATCCTTAAATATTAGACCAAAGCAGGGACAATAGAAAATGTGTTTACAAACCCTCCTGATTAAGGTGACTAAAAAGCAAAAGCGAAACAAAGGAGGTTGAGGTAAAGAGCAGTCTTACACGTAAGCTTCCAGCTTTGGGACTGATTTACAAACCACAACTGAAATGGGTATTATATATATGCTGATGAAAGTAGCTATGTAACATAGTTTGGATCTGTGTCGCTGCACAAATCTCCTGTTGAACTGTAATCCCCAGTATTGGAGGTGGGGCCTGGTGGAAGGTGATGGGATCATGGAAGCGGATTTCTCATGAATGGTTTAGCGCCATCCTCTTAGTGCTGTCCTCACGACAGTGATTGACTTCTCAGGAGATCTGCCTATTTAAAAGTGTGGCGCCTGGCTCTTTCTCTTTTGCTCCTGCTCCCACCATGCGAGACCCCTCCTCCCCCTTTGCCTTCTGCCATGATTGTAACCTTCCTGAGGCCTCCTCAGAAGCAGACATCTGTGTTATGCTTTCTGTACCGGCTGCAGAGCCAATTAAACATTTTCTTTATAAATTACCCTGTCTCAGGTATTTCTTCATAGCAATGCAAGAACAGCCCAATACCCTGTGTCTTCATTCATTAAAAGGCTACTGAACTATGCCTACTACTGCATTTTGCAGACTTGCTTTTCCTCCATTTAGAACTAATGTCTTTTATTTCAAGACCTAATGTCACCTCATTCTTTTTTCATGTGATAATATCCTCTGATGTGGCCTGCGAGTTGCCCATAAGGAATCGTGGAGTTTGGGATGATAGTTTTGGGGGTGTGTGCTATTTTGCCTTCTTTTTTCACTCTCAAATATAAAAAGGATCTAAGTGCTACTCCTGAAGTTATTTGCGGGGACTGTTTGCACTTTCTTGCTTGAGGTGTGGCTGTGGAGGGCAAGACAGACAAAAGTCCAAACTAAATGGAAAATGGTGCAGTTATTGCTGAAATAGGTTTCCCACCATCTAATTCCTTTGTGTGCTACTGGCTGAAAAAGTCCTTTTCCTTCTCAGCTCCACAGCTACTTTTTCAGGACAGAGTCTGATTTACATAGACAGGCTGAATGCAGAAGCTGTGTGTTTACCATGTGAATTTGAGGCCACTGAGAAGATTATTTTGTTGTTCTGATCTCTTGACCTTCTGAAAGCTCCCATCAGACCTTTCTCCTCCCACCTTCCACCACACTATAAATAAAAGCCAACCCATAAGCACCCACTCAGATGTATCTGCTTCTTAAATTTCGGAATCGATTTGTTAATCTCAAAAGGCCGTAAAAACCTGAAAACTTAAGTAGCTAACAGAGAAAAAAAAAAGTTCAAACAGATTCTTGGAAGGCTTTGAAGCTAGGATGCTTGGGGAGCATCTTTGTAGTCTGTTGAGGGATTAGAGACGGCAACATCATGTCGCCTCGCAAGCCAGAGGACAGCTTTGAATTGCAGCCAATCAGAAGCCATAGTATGTTTTTGGAAGGTGGTGGGGGCCAGTTTTTTCCCTTCAAATAGCTGACATTTCGCAGCCCCCGTCCCTCTTGGAGCACGACAGCCAGAGAGTATGCAATTTGTTTGGAATTCTCTCACAACAGTCCTAGTTTGAGGCTAAGGCTAGGTTGTGAACATTTAGAGTTTTTGTACGTCTTGACAAATTTGTGTTCATCAGGTGCTCCGTGACCATCAGTATTGTTTTGGTTATACAGACCAAGTGTTCTGGGCTCAGATCCAAAACTTGCACAAGTAAATCAGCCTCAGAAGGCAGCCTTAGAGATCTTTGAAAAGTGCTGAAGTAGGGCTAAATATTAGACAATCTGCCATAATTTAAGTTTTATATGTATGTATATATATTTATATATATATTTAATTCACAGCAGGGAGCAGTACACACATCGTAAGAGAGAAATCTACTTTATGCAGAGTTAATTGGATGATACCCTAATTTGATGATACCCACATCATTCAGTAATTCAGTTTTGCGCTTTCTTTCTTTTTATGCTTTTCATTTAAAAAGCCTATTTATATGATGTTGAGGAGTTTGTTAAAATTAGCTGATATTTTAGGATCCTTTTGACATTTTATATGATTATAGGACATGGGGACATGAGTTCAGAAAAATTGGAAGGCTCTCACAGTTGAAGAACTGCCATATTTGGGAGTCCTTGGCAAAGTTTTATGTAAACTGTATGTTTTTTACTTAGGGAGTCTTTATAATTGAAAGCACCCATCATACTTTGTGCATGGACTTCTATTCACAGAATGAATTTAGCAAAGCTATTGGGCAATATAAAATTTTAGGATAGGGAAAACATAGCTCAAATGCTATGGTCATTGTGGATCTCAGACTGAGTACAAGGCTGCAATATTCACTCCTGAAGCTAGAAACAAACCTCAATCTGAAACCATGCTGGAATTCTGTAATTCTCTTCCACAAAGCTAAAGTAGAATGTGTTGTGTTCTGTTTTGGTCTCCACAGTTTAAAGAGGACTTCTAAAACAGAGGCAGAGTTCAGAGATGAATTTGAGTTTAAAAATACGATTCTAAGTAAAGATAGAAAGTGGGTATGGTTGAGTAGAAATAGAAACCTGATCGTGACTCATGGTGTCCACTCAACCAAAGGTAGTTTCCTGGGAAGTAGAAGATCCTTCCCCTCAAAAAGGTCAGAGAAAAGGCCCCACAAATCCTCATATTTAAAGATATCTTATAAGAGTACACAAAAATGATATAGCATAAGAGGGAGAAATTCAGAGTATTTCTCTTGCTATAGATGAACATAAAAATATTTGACATCTGCGGTGCCTATATAGAAACTCAAGTACATGGAGCTCTAAGTCTATTCATTATAGAGCATTCAGAACCCTGGGCAAACCAAAACCAAAATAGTGGTGTCAACCCACTTCTTTGACATGCCACAACTAGTGGCAGATACCTCCTATTCTCCCCCTTACCAGGGACATTCTCCCAAATGTGTCCTCTTGTGCGTGGCTCACCACTGAGGTGCTTTGTCACTCACCTTCTCTATATGATTTCAGTCTGACTGTGAGTGGGTACTGTGATGAAGCCTTTGTCCACCTCTCCTAAACCTTGTTTTAAACCCACTTTACTGAAGGTGACATTTCCCCAGTTATTCCTTATTCACATCTCCTTTGTAAAAGCATCTGAAACCTTCACGCAGAAGCCAAAGTGTGTTACAGTTCTGAGTAAAGACCCCATTAAATATGAAGATTCTAGGGCTAGTGGATCTCTAACCCTAGGTGATCTCTGCAATAAGTGCAGTGAAACCATGGGGTCAGAGCCTCAGGAAATGGTAGAGTTGAAGGCCAAGATCTGCTGATTGATAACTTCACAGAGAAGAAAACTCAAGAAGAAACCAAGGGACTGAATGAAGAAGAAAGAAAAGAGATGAGATGGAGTACCCCATCTCTCCCTGAGGATGGAAGGAGGGAGGACAGAGGAAGAGCAGCACAGAGGCTTCCAGGTGGAGAGAAAGGTGTAGCTGTTCAATAATCTGATGAAAGTGATAGGAAGGAATTTGTGAGACTGTGATATCAATGACCTTGGACTTCTTACCAAAGTATGAAATGCAGTGTGATTTTTCCAGTAGGATGATGCATAGAGCTGAAGATCTTGAGGAAAGTTGTAAAGGAATGGTGCTATGGTTTCAGTATGTCCTCCAAAGTTTATGTGCATTGGAAATTTAATTCCCAGTGCAACAATGGCTTTTCAGAGGTGATTAGGTCATGCATGCTCTGCCCTTATGAATGAATCAATGTCATTATTGCAGGAGTGGGATAGTTATTGCGGAAGTGGGTTCCTGATTAAAAGGATGAGTCTGGCTCCTTTACTCTCTTGTTCTTGCTCCCAGTTTCACTCTTTTGCCCTTCCACCTTCCATCATGGGATAATGCATCAAGCAGCCCCTTGCCAGATGCAGGCACTTGATCTTGGACTTCCCAGCCTCCAGAACTATAAGAAACAAAACTCTGTTTATTATAAATTACCTAGTCTGTGGTATTTTATTATAGCAACCACAACATGGACTAAGACAGGTGGGCTAACTATTGAACTGAATTTTTGGTTCACATTTATTCATTCATCTATGCAATAATATTCATGCTCTTCATTATATATCCATTATATGTGTTAGGGGCATGTGCAGTGAACAAGGCAAATGTGTTCCCTGTTTTCATTGGTGGGGAATGCTCTTGCAAGTATGGTTTCTAAAAGGGCAGTGTTTTATCCCCTGGGAGAGTGTTAGAGATGGGAGTATCTAAAGGCGCTTTGGCTCTTCCCTGCATAATACATATGCTCAGAGTTCAGATAGGTCATAGAGTGAGGCAGTGGTAGAGCTAACAGTTTTCATATAACAAACTTGCCTCTTTTTCCCCAACTAGTAAGAAGCATTAGTACACAGAAAAGCGTTGATTCTGGAGCCAGACTGCCTAGTTCAAATTTCAGCTTCCACCGCTTACCAGCTCTGTGGCTTCGGGCCAGTGATTTAATTCCTCAGTTACCTCTAATGTACACTGGGAGTAATAATAATACCTACTTCACAGAGCTATTTTGAAGATTAAATAAGTTAGTGTTTATAAAATGTCTTGGCACATAGTAAGCACTCTATAGCTATTGACAAATAAAAATAGGCCCTTAGACAAAATCTAGTATGTAAAAGGCAACAGAGAGCATGAATTAGTCGGTCTCAAGGAAGGGGCAATGCTACTCCCTAGAAAATATTTCAGAATTTTGTGGGCATTTTGGTTGTTCCATGGATTGGGGAATATGGTGGGAAAGGGCCAGCACATTCCTGCACAAGTTTCAAATATTCTAGCAGATATTTATGCAGATGCAAAAAAGGCATTTTAAAATGATCTGAACTACATATAATTCCACCTTATATGTAGGTGTGTCAGTGTTTTATTGAGCTGTGAATTAGAAGTTTCAGAGTTTTATTCTACACTGGATTTCCAGGACTGTGACTGCCTTCTAAATTGAGGGATGATTTCCTTTGTTTTGTTAAGAACATTACCAAGAGTTACTCACTATTTCAGAATGTCACTGATACACCAATCCTAGCATTTGAATCCCAATGTAATGCACCTCCATCAATGTGTGACACTCATTGTGGTTCTCCTTATTTGTACAAGCATCTCAAGACTTCACTGTGTTTTCTAGTGAAGCTGTAACCAATCACTAATATATTGAGATGCATATGCTGTTAGAATAACTTGCTTTCCTTTTACATCTTCATATTTAAATGAGAGTATTATATTGTCTTTTAAGAAATCGTATCAGTGGCTAGACAGATTGCATGATGAATACATTTTATTTTCTTATACGTATTTGTTAGTGGCAATGTTGGGACTGCTGTGGGTGAGAACTTCTGCTACAAGCAAAGGCCCTGGGGCAGGTTTCAGTTAGAGTTATAGAGCCTGGATAGTTGTTAGAAGGTGGGATGCTCTCTATAAGGGAACTACTGCTCTCCATAAGGAAAGCATTTGTTAAATGGGCAGGAACTGTAACATGAGCGATTTAGCATTGTCTTAGCTTGCCAAGCTCTAGTTTGTTGATGTAAGATACTGACAGTTCTCTTTAAATCTTTGTAAACAAGGTAGAAGCTCATGTCTTTCTGATAGAGAGTAGTCACTACACCTAAACCAACAGCTCGGATTTATGTCCAAATCTATTTACATACTCACACAATTCTAGAGTTAAGTTCGCTTGCTCACACAAATGTGTTATTTGACCCATTTCTCCCACAAATAAAAGTTACATTATTAGAGGGATACATAAGAATTTGAATTGTTATATGTTAAAAACTTATTTCTTCACATTGATGCATTTGATATATTATTATTTATAAGTAGTACATGTGGCCCATTTAAACAACGTGAGGGTTTCATAAGTGATTTTTTCTTTGGGTTGCAAACTATTGACAGGTGGGGAGTCAAATTTGAATATCTTTGTGCTCTTGTTAACTAAAACAATGCCTGGCATACAATAAGAATGCAATACATCTTTGATAAATGAATGAGCCCTTATTTGTGGGGTGGTGGATTTGGGAATGTAAATGGAGTTAAAGTTATACATTCTAGATTCTACTTCCTGATCTGTCACTTAACTGAGTTTTGAAGTTTGAGAAATGACTTAAAATCTTGGTATCATCATCCAAAAACTGCGATTGGTATCACATGCCCAGGTTATGTATAACATTTTTAAGATCAAAAGAGAGAAGACAGATAAAAACATTTGAAATCCACAAAGTGCTAATCAAATACAGGTGTACTAAATTCCACAAAAACAACAGAATCAGATTAGGGCTTATTCAGAGAGAAATGATGCATTCACTAGGGGTTTAGTTGGTTGAATAGTGTTCCCTGCAAATTCACATCCACCCAGAACCTCAGAATGTTACCTTATTTAGAAATATATTTTTTGAAGATAAAATTAGTTAAGATGAGGTTATATTGGATCAGAGTGGACCCAAAATCCTATGTGGCATCCTGATAAGAAGAGGAGATGATACATGGGGAGTCACAGAGAAGAAGGCCATATAATGGCGGAGGCCGAGATTGGGGTGATACAGCTGCAAGCCAGGGAATGCCAAGGACTGCCAGGAGCCACAGAAGCTAGGAAGAGGCAAGGAAGGATTCTTCGCTGGAGCCTAGAGAAGGAACATGGCCCTGCTGACAACTTGAGCTTGGACTTCCAGCTTCCAGAACTGTGAGAGAATAAATGTCTGTTGTTCAAAGTCACCCAGTTTGTGACAGTTTGTTATGGGGGCCCTAGGAAACTAATACAAGTGTTCATTATTTTTTCCTCTTCTGAAGAAAGGGACAGGATCAGAGGTGAAATAATGCTTCTGGAAATTTGCCTCGTGTCCTGGCATCAGTACAATTGGCCAGACCTTTATGGAAATAGAAGCAGTTAGCCTAAGGTTTAAAAGTACTGGCTTTGGGACACAGATGAGATTATGGTTTCATCACTGGCAACACTCTGGGAAGTTGGAAATCTTCCACTTCCCACCTGTAAACTCCAAGTGATGATAGCCATATCCAGTCCATTAGTTGACTTGAAGGTTAAATGAAATATTATATGCAGCTTGAATATATGCATACATATATCTTCTCAATGTTAATGATTATTACTATAGACTAGATAACTTGAGGCAACCATAGTTCAATTTCAGATAGCTCTAGTTTATAAGACTGTGAGCCAAGAACTTAAAAAAAGAAAGGTGACGGTTTTCATTTTGATTCAGGACTCGATCACCTCTTTGTCAGAGCATCTGAATTAGCCTTTGTCATCATGATGATGATAACCAAAACTGGTCAATTAACTTCACTTGGCTGATTTGCATTCTAATTGCAATTTTTTTTATATATCTTTTAAGTAACTGCAACTTTTGGGCACTGTTTAATAAAACCAAGAAATTGAAAGTGAGGAGCTTGAAAAAGTCCTTGAACCTTACAATTTCTTTACAGATTCTATATGTTTCACAATAAAGGCAAGGTTTTAAATCTCAGTTATCATGAGAAGGCTCCAGGCTGGCTCTTTGCCAGTGTGTTTAATTGAGAGATGAACACGTCAGATTCATCTCTCACACACTATCACTATCACTGTCCTCTCTGAGCTCAGGCTGGGCTCTTCTGTCCCCCATCAATAAATAATTCTTCCTTAGGTTTAAAATCTCAAATAGCAACCTAAGTGCATTAACAAAATATGTATTATATAAGAAACATTCAGAGAAGAGAAGTTCAAGGTCAAAGCTAAAATTTACACAGAGTTTCAATATTTAAATGGGTCTGAAAACTCCATATTCCATAGCCCTGTACATTTACCTATACTCCTCAAACATCTCTTTGCATAATTACTTATGCTGAATTGAAGCAAAAACATCAAAATGTCTGGAAATTTAGGTTTCACTTTCCATTATTTTTCCAAGAACTTTTAGTAAATGTTTTCAAAACAGCTTTAATACTATATCTCATCATATAGAAATCATGCAATCATAGAGGCTCATTTACATGCTTCTTGGTTCCATAGTGGTTGTATGCTAATTACACCTACATACTTTCTGAACCTGACAAGACAGTGTTTATAATTTGGCTTCAAATGCTAATATATATTTTAAAGAAATTCAGATGGAAAATCATCTTTAAAAACACCTTATTCACATATTTACCACGATCAGTGCTTGTTATTAATTTCTGAAGTTCTGAGTTTCACTTCTCTTCAGCCTAGCTTCCTTTAGCATTTGCCATTGTACAGATCTGCTGGAGAAAAGTTCTCTTTATTTTATTCTGTTTAAAAATGTCTCTACTTTTCCTTCATTTCTAAATGATATTGTTTTCTAGATATAGAATTCTGGGGTAACGTAGTTGTTTCAATACGTTTATGATATTTGTCAACTTATTGTGCCTGTTGTTATTAATCACTCAAATTCATAGTTCATGTCTAAGTAATATTTTGTATTACTCTAGTGGCTTTCAAAATTTTCTCTTTACTTTTGGTTTTCAGCACTTATACTATGATGAATCTAAACATGAATTTCTTTGTATTTATTCTACTTGGTTTTTGCTGAGTTTCTTCAGTCTGTAAATTCATGTCTTTCACCAAATTTGGCAAAATTTTGTTCATTTCTTCAAATATCTTGTCCCACTCTCTGTCTTCTCTTCTTTTGGGACTCCAATTACATGCCGTTAGACTTTTTTATGTTGCCCTATTTTACATTATTTTTAATAATTTTGTTCAATATTTGTCTTCAATATTGTAATCAGATGCAAATAAACTGGCTTTCTCAACCTTAATTACATCAGCCTTCTCTGTGAAATAAATTCAATCCTTTATTACACAGTTTTTTTTTACAACAGCTATTCAACAAATGTGTATGTCATCCTTTCTGTAAATGTGTCATGGTAATAGTATTTGATTAGCTAAATTATCATTTCACTCATGAGTGATTACCTATGTCCATAGGTCTACTGCCTGTCCTAAATTGAACAGTTTTGTCCACTTAAAACAAGCAAACTTCCACTGATAGGTAAATGTTCCAACTTTACTGTAGCTTGCAGCAGTGCCTCTGTTAAGTGGAATTCTATTTCTGCCACAGCATCAATAAGCTTTCCTGTGTATGTCCCATATAAGGACCTGGTTGCATTTCTATTATGGAAGCCATAGTTGCCCTGCTAAGGAGTCTTGCCCTTTCAGGGAATTTGTGCTTCAGATAAACTGCCAAAACCCAGGCCTTCTTTGAACATTTATATTGTCTCACAGCTCTATTTAGAACAGTCTGTAAGATCACTCTGTCCTGAGTAAGACTTGAAGACTCATTTTTACCATCACATTGGATAATACCCTGCAAGCCAGCCCTTTGGAGGAATCAAAATTGAACAATCAAGCCTGAGGACTTGATAGAGTCTCAACTTTGACTTTTTAGTTTTTTTTCTCTCTCTCAATCTTTTTCTTTCTTAGAAAATAGAAAAATGACTGCTTACTACTGATTGTAATGTGTCTCAACTTTTGAAATTCAGCCTTAAACTTGTTTTACTGTGCACATTTGCTTTTGTTGAATTAAGTCCAGGTCTCTTCATTTCCCAGGGCAAAAAATCTTGGTTAAATTCCATGGGAAAGGATTGTGTTTTGGGTATGTAAACATCTATCCAAATACTTGTAGAATTCAAAAAGAGCATACATTCTTAAGAGTGACTCAGTTCAAACACATGCGTGCAGATTAAACGTCTTCTTTAAGGAAGCATATAGTTAATAGTTTTAAAAATGAATTTCCCCAACCTGATTCAAAGAACTCTCATTCTTCCAGAATAAAATATATCTTAACTTCAAGTGGGATAATTGGCCTCACCCCTACAGTGCTTGCTTGGCGTCTAGCAATTATGCACTAGAAAGCACAAAAGGGATAGAATTAATAGGTAAATTTTAGTGAGATTTGGCATGTGTGAGGTTAAGGGAATTTTTCAAAGTTGCTTATAAAGTTGCATACAGTTTCAAATTGTTTTCATTTTGAGTTATTTTGGTTAAAAACAGAAACCACATTTTAAACAAGCAGTCTGCTTAATGTAAAATAAACATGTAACTTAATTTGCACATTTGTTGGGTGCTTGTTTTGGAAATCATTGTGGTAAAATGGAAATAATCACAGAGGCTTCTGAGCCAGGTAGATGTGGATTTGAGTCCTGGCTTACTAATTCTGTGGCATCGGGTAAGTTTCTGAGCTCTTCTTAGCCACCATTTCTTTTTCTATAAATTAAAAATGATCGTATCTATCTTTAAGGGTGGATTAGAGGGTTAACAGTTCAGCACCCACAGGGTTTTTAATAAGTACTTTGAATTTTGAGAATAGACAAGACCTAAACATTAAAGTATTTTGCTTTTGACTAATAACGTCTAGATTATTAGTCTAATAACTTCAGGCTGTTCATAGTGATCTTGCTGGGTTGAGGCAATTGAGACTACATTTTGAAATCTTTTGTTTTGTGAAGTATACACCACACATAAAATGCATAAACCATAAATGTTAATGAATTTAATAGTAATAGACACCTATGTAATCATCACGCAGCATATCAGCTTTAAAAAAAATTTTTAAAGAACTTTTTGATGGTATTATAGCAAAGATACAGAAAAGTGAACAAATCATAAAGTTTATAATTCAAAATAATTTTCACAAACTGAACAACCTCATAACCATTGCCTGATCAAGAAATAAGACATTTCTGGCACCATCCCCCCGCCCACCACGCCACCCCTAGAATCTCCGTGTGTTCTTTCTATTCACTATCCATCCTCACCAAGGTAGAATATTCTGACTTCCTCTCATTAGATGAGTTTCGTCTGGTTTTGAACTTCATATACACGGAATCACAGTGTGTACTCATTTATATCATGGCTTCTTCAGCTCATTATGCTTGTGGTATTCATTTTTTAACCACTCATTATGGAAAATTTCAAATGTACACAAAATATGAGAAAGTATAGTGAACCCTAATGTGTCCATCACTTCTTTAAAACCATCCTTAACTCATAAATACTTTGATCTAAACACCGTCTTAATTCTCTGCTGTCCCCAAGGCAATGGATTATTTTCCCCAAACATCCTATCATTTCATCCATGAATATTTTAGTAAGTATCTCAGCAAGAAAAGGATTCTTTTTGTCACATCTACGAACTTAACAGTAATTACATGTTTTCAATATCCTATCTTGGATCAGCATTTCTCCATTGTGTCATAAGGGTTTTTTTGTTTTGTTTTGTTTCTTCTGTTTTGTTTTTTTCTGCAGTTGGATTTTTTACAATAGGGTCTGAATGAAGTGTGAAGATACCTTATTTTAAATGCCTAATTGTAAATTGGGGGAGAGTCCCATTTATATAAACTGAGTCTTTGAGTTCTTTATGGCTCATGTGAAGAAACAAACATCTTGCATATTTTCCAATTAAATATGTTGAGGCTTATAGTATTTTAGAATATTAGAATTCGAGATAATCTTATAGTTTCTTGATATCTTGTGTCTTGGCATACTTGGAATCCCCTCTGTGTTTTGAAAGTGAACTTTTAGCTTCACCGACTTTTTCACCTTTGGTATTATAGAGTCTACTTTCTGCTATTTTTGCTCTCTTGATTTACCTGCCAAGTGGCAGGCACAATGGGCAATTTTAGCTCAGCTCATCTGAAGAAATTCATCACTGAGACCTACAAAAATTCCTTGAAAGGAACAGAGAAAGCCAAGGTTGTTCTCACTTTCAGTTCTCACTTTTGCCAGTTGGATGGGACAGTGACTTTAAGGATATAACAATACAGCTGACACGATTAGGTGTTTGTTTAAATGATTTTTCATTTCAAGTTTATCTTTGTTTAAGCTGACCACAGCAAATATTTGATGTTACCAGTTAAATATCTTGCAGTCTTTTCACGTTTAAAACTTTTTCAGCCTTAAGTTTCTGCCTTCTTATTTGTAACCTGTACAAGGGTTTTCCTCTCTGTCTCTTCCATCACGGGATGGTGTCTAGGCACATGGTAAGGGCCATCTTGTTCTTGCAGTTGTCACTGGTTGGTTGAGGGCTCTTATATTGTTTAATGTCAAGCCAGGTCTTCTGTGGTTATTGAAAATTAAGTGTCTTTTGCAGGTCATTCTCACACCCCTGTTGATGATCTTCACTGTTGCTTCGAGCCATAAGCTTACCTTTCACTGTGAACTCTGGCCCCAACCCCAGACCTACTTCTGTCCACTAATCCTACAGCTTCCCTTGGTACTTGTGCACTCCCTGCTGCTTTCTCTCCACTAGCTGTAGTGTGTTGGACCCTGTGAGGTCACCTTTGCCTGGTCACCTCCCTCACGTTTGCCATTTGACTGTGCCCAGGTCATACTGAGCACACTGCCAGGAGGAAGGTTGAGCTTGGAGGACATGAATGAGGAGAAGCTGGGGGCCTATAGCAATGATTTTAGAATCATTGATTCAAAGTTGGATGCTTTCCTCATATCTTCTGCATTTCCCTGAAGAAGTTTCCAGGACCTCTCTATCTCCTTTATATTATAACCTCCTACTTCCTTCTCCATGGCTTGTTTCAGTCTTCCAGAATTGACGCAATGACTTCCTTTAAATTAACAGGTAATGTGAAATAGTCTAGTTGCCAAATTAAAGAGAAATGAAAAGGAGCAAGTAAAACTAATTTTTTTTTTTTTTTGAGACGAAATCTCACTCTGTCTCCCTGGCTGGAGTGCAGTGGCGCAATCTCGGCTCACTGCAACCTCCACCCTCTGAGTTCCAGTGATTCTCCTGCATCAGCCTCCCGAGTAGCTGAGATTACAGGCACCTGCCACTGCGTCTGGCTAATTTTTTGTATTTTTAGTAGAGACAGAGGTTCACCATCTTGGCCAGGCTGGTCTTGAACTCCTGACCTCATGATCCACCCTCCTTGGCCTCCCAAAGTGCTGGGATTACAGGCATGAGCCACCGCGCCCGGCCAAGTAAAACCAATTTTTAAAATATTTTTATTTAGCCTAAAACATCTGAAATGTTATCATTTCAACATGTAATCAATATAAAAATTTATTGAGATATTTTACATTCTCCTTGTCTTCTTTTTTTGGGAAGGAATGGGTACAGAGTCTGGATCCCAGAGTGTGTATTTTTCCCTCACAATACACCTTAGTTTGGACCAGCCACATTGCAGGACTAGAGGCTACCATATTGGACAGAATGAGTCTAGGTCATGAATGAGGAAGCTTCTAGATAATTTTAAGAGAAAAGCAAAAACAATAAATAAACTCTTAGGATGGTGCGGCTTTGCCTGTCTACATTAGCATTTCATTAACTCCAGGTGCTTGTTTCCCACTGCCACTTGGTATGTAAAATTTGTCTTCCACTCAACCAGGCAGATTTTTGATCACAGAAATTAAGCCTCTGGTTTCCTCTCAATCCACCCAAACACATAGCATACTGCTGACCTCACAGCAGGTACTCCAGCCAACCAATCCCTGAATTAAAAACTGATTACAGGCAGCTGCTCGATGCCTTGCCACTTCCCCTCTCAGTGAGTCCATTTTATTTGTCTGACAGCAAAGCTCCAATTCTGTCTTCACCCCTACCAACCCACACTTTTACAAATTGCTTTTTAGCTTAATGTTGAAACAGCCACGCTTTAAAAATATCATTTCATTATGTACAGGTTGGCAATCAAGAAAGAAAAATTCCCATAGGACTCAAATGAAACAAATCTAAAAATTTAGGACTGAAGCTCGGGAATGGTCAATCTGATTTTAATGCTCTCAAGAGTCCACATAAAATATATGGGCTTAGCAAACTTTCTGGGAAAACCCACTCAAAGAGATGACTTATTGATGCATGGATGAAGCAAGAGTGACTCCCAGATTTTATCCAAAAATATATCTAATGATATATGAAAATGATCATTCTAGTTAAATATATTCTAATGATTTGAACATATCTAAATAAGTTGGTTCTATCCCTCATAAAATCTAATGACAAACTTCGGAGACTTAAAAAGTGTGAAAAATAAAAGTCGAATTCTGGAGGGTAAGGCAGGAGAATTGCTTGAACCTGGGTGGGGGAGGTTGTAGTGAGCTGAGATTGTGCCATTGCACTCCAGCCCTGGCGACAGAAGTGAGACTCTGTCTCAAAATAAATAAATAAATAAGATAAGATAAAATAAAATAATAAAATAAAGATGAATAACAATCGGCCCATACAATTTTTACCCCAGCAAGAGGATGTTTGGTTAAATGGCCAGCACTGATTATTCATACAAGTACCCACCTCCCCACTATCTCATACACCCACTCAGTCACCAACCTTTATAGAGCACATCTTTTTAATTCCCCTCAAAGCTGCACTTTCCTCTCTGTTCCTTGCCATCCACCTATCCTTCTGGATTGCTGGAATGGCCTCCTGACAAGTCTCCTTGCCTTCTCTGTGCATCCCCACCCCCGCATTTGTCCTCCAGGTCAGTGTTTCAAACTCTGGTTTCTGTTTTGTTTCGTTTCTGAGACTGGGTCCTTCACCCAGGCTGGAGTGCAGTGGCATGATCATGATCACAGCTCACTGCAGCCTTGACCTCCCTGGCTTAAGTGATTCTCTCACCTCAGCCTCCCACAGAATACTGGAATTACAGATGTGCACCACCACGCCCCACTAATTTTTTTTTGTATTTATTTATTTATCTATTTGTAGAGACAAGGTTCATGTTGCTCAGGCTGAACTCTCCACTTGTTTTTCAGTTTTTAATTTTTTAATTGGCATATAATAATTGTACATATTTATGAGGTACATAGTGAGTTTTGATACATGTCTAGTGATCAAATCAGGGTAATTAGCATATCTATCACCTCAGAAGCTCACAATTTGTTTTGTTGGGAACATTCAAAATCCTGTCTTATATATATTTGAAAATATATACAATTTTTGACTGCAGTCATCCTACATTGCTGTCGAACACTAGAACTCATTCCTTTCATCTAGCTGTAATTTTGTGTCCTTTAACAAATCCCCCCATGCACCCTCCCCGCTACTCTTCTCACCCTCTAGTAGCCACTGTTCTATTCTACTTCTAAGAGATCAATGTTTGTAGCTTCCGTATGTGAATGAGCACAAGCAGTATTTATCTTTCTATTCCTGGAGAAGAGCAGGCTTTTTCCTGAATACATTGCTGTCCAATATTACTATAAAACATAATACACATGAATTATTAGAACAATTAAATGAGAAAAACCCAGGCATGCAAAATATTAAAAAATATTTAAAACATTATTTTAAAAATTTAAATAATTATTAATTTAAATAGACTAAAATTGCTCTCTCAACTTGCTCTGTAAGTTCCCATATTTACTCTCAGTTTCTGTACTTATCTTCCTGTGAGATTTTAAAACAGCTTGGTTCATAATTCAGGTAGCACTGATATAGATCCACAGTCCAATACTATAGCCAGTACTCACATGCAGATGTTTAAAGTTAAATTTCAATTAGTTTAACTTAAATTCATTAAAAATTCAATTCCTCCATTGCATTAGCCACATTTCAGGTATTCAGTAGCCATGTATGGCTAGTGATAACTATATTGGACATCACAGATATGGAACATTTCCATCATCGCAGAAAGTTTTATTGAACAGTACTGCTGTAGACCCTTGCTACTTACAGAGTGGTCCATGAGCCAGCAGTTCTTACTTCACATGAGAGCTTGCTAGAAATGAAGAATCTGAGCTGGGTGCAGTGGTTCATACCTGTAATCCCAGTACTTTGGGAGGCCAAGGCGGGGGTGGGTCGCTTGAGCCCAGGAGTTTGAGACCAGCCTGGGCAACATGGTGAGAGCCCATCTCATAAAATAAAATAAAATAAAATAAAATAAAAATAAAATAAAAAAAATAATTTAGCCAGATATGGGGACACACACTTGTAGTCCCAGCTACCTGGGAGGCTGAGGTGGGAGTATCACTTGAGCCCAGGAATTCAAGCCTGCAGTGAGCCATGATCACATCACCACACTTCAGCCTCGGCAACAGAGTTGCGACTTGGCAGCAAAAAAAAAAAAAAAAAAAAAAAAAAAAGAAATCTGAAAAACAGAAAACAAAGTAGGCCTAAACCTCTTGAAACAGAATGTGCAATTCAATAAGTTTCTTAGGTGACTCCTATGTACTTTAAAAGTAGAAGCCCTACTCTGGGATGTTTCTAGGACAATCTAAAGTCCAAATCTGATCAGACTATCCTACTAATCCTTTTAAATTGATACATAATATGTGTACATATTTGGGATACATGTGGTTATGGGATACACCTGATCTTTTGGTACATGCTTAGAATGTGTAATAATCAAATCAGGGTATTTAGGATAGCCATAACCTTCAACATTTATCATTTTTTGTGTGTGTGTTGGAAACATTTCAAATCTCTCCTAGCTATTTTGAAATAAACAATATATACAATGTATCATTGTTAGGTATAGTCATCCTACTGTGCTGTCCAACATTAGAATTTATTCCTTTTATCTAACTGTATATTTGTACCCACCACTAATCTTTCCATAGCTTGCAAGACCAGCTCTATCTAAAGTGGTAGGTATTAGCCACATGTGTTTATTTCAATTTCAGCTAATTAAACTTAATTTACATTAAGTTTAATGTCAATTAAACTTAAAGTTTAAAAATCATTTAAAGTTCAAAAATTATTTTCCCAGCCCGCCAGTCACATTTCAAGTACTCATTTGTCGCATGTGGCTGGTAGCTACTGAGTTGGACAGTGTAGATACAGAACATTTTCTTAACTGCAAGAAGTTTGATTGCACATTGCTGATTTAGACTCTAGTTTAACATCCAGAGATCTCATCATCTAGCAGAACTACCCCCTGCCTACCTCTCAAGCCCCCAAACCATGGTGCACCAGGTTGGCCCTTGTCTCTAACACAATGAGTTACGTAATTTAGTTCCTATGCACCATCACCCTCATTGTTCCTTTACCTTGACCACTATTTTTCCATTCCCTTCTTTCCATTCACCTCTCCATAATCTTCAACTAATCTCTGTGTCAAAATTTACCTCATGGTCAGCTGCTCCAGAAAGCTTTTCTAGAAACCATCCCATGCTGCAACCCTGCCACAATTTAGATTGTCCCCTTTCATTTCTTAGGTAGAAGCCTATGTATGCATGTATCACATGCTTTTGCTGTTGATTTATTCTCTCCATTTAGATCAGCATTTCTCAGCCTCAGCACTATTGACATTTGGGGCCAGATAAGATAACTCTTTCTTGGGAAAGTAGACAGCTGTCTTGTGAGCTGTAAAATGTTTAGTCTCATTCCTAACCTCTACTCACTGGATGTCAGTAACCTCCCCAGTTGTGACCATCAGAAATATATCTGCACATTGTCAAATGTTCCCTGGGGAGCAAAATCACCAATGCATAAGAACCACTACCTTAGACCTATCTGTTTTCTAAGGAGAGCCTCTTGAGGTCTGTGAGACACTTCAAACCACAGCATGGTACATAGGTCCTGCACACAATTGGCACTATGTTGGTATACATGCTGAATGAATGATTGATTAGGAAATCTGTTGTCAGCAGGTGTTTCTTCTTT
Organism: Homo sapiens; assembly: GCF_000001405.40. Taxonomy (NCBI): domain Eukaryota; kingdom Metazoa; phylum Chordata; class Mammalia; order Primates; family Hominidae; genus Homo; species Homo sapiens. The sequence continues at coordinate 8,231,607 of NC_000020.11, forward strand.
CCTTGCATCCTTTGTTTCTTCTTTCTTTTATTCTGCTTCTTTGCACGCATTCCCAAGTCTAAGCAACACATTCCCAAGTCTAATTCTATTTCATGAGTGAACCCATTGACCAAACAGGAGAGCCCTGTGCAGGGCAGTCATTGATCATAGGTGTCTCCCGTGGCCAGTTGGTTTGGTTGGCTGATCCACAGTAGAGGGATAGACAAAATTATCAACCTCTTAAAATGAAGACTGGGACTGGGAATGAATCAGATGTAACAGCCTCCCTGTGATGCTCAGTTTTATTAGCTATTTTATATATACTGTATATATGTATGTAAAATAGCTCTATCTTATGTAACTATTTTATATAGCTTTTAGCTATGGGTCAGAGTCGCCAATCTATCATCTTTTCAGCCAGCTGTCAACACATGGTTTCAGAATTTGGAAGAAACCTAAAAGATTATGCATTCCAGCAGGGCTTGGTGGTGTGCGTCTGTAGTCCCTGCTATTCAGGAGGCCAGGGTAGGAAAATTGCTTGAGCCCAGGAGTTCAAGGCTGTAGTGCACCATCATGGTGCCCGTGAAAAGCTACAGCACTCCAGCCTGTCCAACATAGCAAGAGCGCATCTCTTTAAAAAAGAGAGAGAGAGAGAGAGAGAGAGAAAAGATCATGCTTTCAGATTCCTCATTTTTTTCTACATCTGGACACTTTCCTTAGGTCCTACTCCAGCCATCATTAGCATCTTAAGATAAAGATAGAATTTTGAAGTTCCATCATTTATAACCAATCAAATGCAAAATTATAAGACAGTGATATTCTTGATTTGAAAGCTGTAAACTCTGATGTCTGCTGCTCTGCTCTTCACTAGTAAGTTCCCTGGCACTAGAGCAATGTTATAGGATGGTGACCTAGTTTAGCTCTACCGTATTTCTCGAGCCAAGTAGAGAAGAACTGGAAGTTCTCTGCCATCCAGGCCTGCAACAGCTTTGGAGTCTCTCATTTGCTTTGCTCTTCTTCTATCTGGAATCCTTTCAGAAGCCTGATCCCCCACTTCGTGCATTCTGAAAGTCTGGGCCTTATAGTATTTGTGCTTCTTGCTGGGCACCATTTCTGCCCAGTGTTACCTGATATGTCTTTACACACCTAGCTCTAATTGTCCTAATATTGGCATTCTCTTGTTTTGGACTGGAGGAAAGATGGTTAAGTCCTCTCTCCTTTCTTGGTTTAGCACTTCTTGCAATGTTTTTCTAGATTTGACCTACCTTTAATCTCTGCAGGCATGGTCCAATACCCTTCTAGCAGCTGGCGCTGGCATTGCAATGTGAATCTGCCACTATGCTATGGGCTGGGCTCTAAGTGGAAATATGTATACATTTTTTCACTGCAAAGAATCAGCTCCCTCTCTCACTCCAGGAGATGGTTGCCTCAGCCCTGTCACACTCTTGGTCCTAGGCAGCTTTCAGCTTCCTCTGTAACTCAACCATATGGCCAGTTAGATGGATTGAGAGCATGACCACCAAATCACCTGGGATCCTACTTATCACAAAACCGTGAAGCTTTGTTACAGTCATTTATTCAATCCCATCAAATATTTATCAAATACCTGCTCTGGGATAGCTCCAGTGGATACAGTAAGATGTCATATTCATCAATTGCTGGTCATCTAATGGGAATAATAATGAAGCAAAAACATGATTATTGTACAGTGAGAAATGGATATACAAAGGGATATGGAACACAGATAAGGGGGAAATCAGAGAAAGACAATAAGAATGAATCCTTTTTAGTAACAGTGTACTGTGTGCCAGGCAAGGTGCTTGTAATTTCTATATAGTTTACATTTCTATTTAAAGTCTCATAACCACTTGGTGAGGCAGACAGGCATTCGAAAATAGCGGAAACCCTCTTTAGAAATTGATAACTTGGTTAAGTTGATTATTTTTTTCTTTCCTTTACCTTTTCTTGAAATATAAAATGCAGTTAAAAAGGTACACTCTTCTAAATAGTATAGCTCAGTGAGTTTTTACAAGATGAGCACATCCCTGTAACCAGCAGTCTGATAACCACATTAAGAAACAGGACATTTCCTGCATCCCAGAGGTCCTCACATCCCCCTAACTGCACCCTCCTCCCACCACCCTGCTCCCTTCCTGAATTCTGCTGCCTCTCTACCCAAGGCTAATCTTCTGGCTTTAACAGCATAGATAAGCTGTGCCTGTTTTATTCTTACGTCAATGAAACAAACTCATCTACTCTTTTTGTGTGTCCACATTTTTTCACTCAACGTGGTGTTTGTAAAATTCATCCCACATTGTTGCATGCGATTGTAATCCTCATTGCTGTATAATATTCCATTGTGTGGATGTTCCATTTATTCATTCTACTGTTATGGGCAGTTGGATAGTTTCATTTTTGGATCATAGTTCATAGCATTGCTATGGGTATTCTAGTGTTCATATTTTCTTGCACACATGTAAAAATTTCTGCTTGGTGTGTGTCTTAGAGTGAAACTGCTGAGTTATAGGCATTTGTGGGATTGAAGGTGGAATGGGAAAGAGACGTATGCAATCAGCTCACGAGCTGGTGACACTGCTGGTAAAAGGGAGTGCCTATACCTAGCTTTAATAGATATTGCCAAATGGTTTTCCAAAATGGTTTAAAAGTGTTGAGTTTTGAGGAGCATGCAGGAGTTAACCAGAAGGTTAAAGTAATAATAATAATAACAACAACAATAATAAAAGGGAGCAGGGTGGAGTTACAGAAATAGTGTTACAGAAATATGCAGTGTATGATTGTCAAATTTGGTTGTTACTGGTTAGCTGGGTGCATGAATTTGCAATCCTGTCATGTGTTCATTTTGCTTATTCTTCCCTGAAATTTCCAGCCACTAATGGAATGTAACACTTTACCCTTTTTGAACTTCTTCCTTCTCAATGCAGTACCACATTAAAGGTCAACTGTGAAATTTCCACGTCCTATTAAATACTATTCCTAGAGCTGGATATAATATTTCAGAATGCTACCCCTGTTCCAAGACATACGCATACTTTAGTGAACATGAAATTCTGTGTTTGAATATCCAGATTTCTTTTTTTGCCTCTATTGTCTTTGCTTTGACTTTGTGGATTTGGCAATGGTTGATAAATTGTTTTAGAGTAGAAGATCACTAGATTAGAAACAGTATTTAACTAAAAATAGACCTCTTGGCTGATTATCAGTGTCTCAAGAGACAGTGTGAGTGAATTTCTGTTTCTTTTTGCCATGATGCTAACTGTCACCCGGAATATAATGCTTACTGGCTTAACCCCTTTTGTTTTTTATATTATGTTTAGAATGTGTATGTCTCCTTGTAAGAATCCAATTTGAGGGGTTCAGAAACACATAGTGAATATGCCTGATGAGTAGTGATTTTTCAATAATGATTTTTACATGTTATGTCTCCTCAAAGATAACAACAGAGCACCATGTTGCCTAAATTCATGTAACTTCCTTCTGGGTTAAACTGTTTATTGGACATTTCTGAATATATGCACCATATGTGGCTATCTTTCAAAGTATGTGTCTGAGATATTATTCAGAGCCTTTTCCAGCCATTTAGAGATATATGTGGAGCTTAGAGAGAATAAAAATATAATGTGCATTATTTACTAGTAATTCACATAAAATATTCCATTTCTAAAGCATGTTGCAGAATTATTCTACTGGTAAATTAAGATTGAAGTTGTCCTTAGATAATAGCTAGCAGTATAATAAAAATACCACATAATAGAAATTGATTCTGAAATGTAAGAATGTTTTATTATTGGAAAATATATCCATATAATTATTACTTCTACAGATAAAAAGAGGAAAGCCACATGATCATACTGATAAGGCAACAAAAAGATGTGACAAAATTCTAATAATTTTAAAAATCTCTTACAAATTAGAAATAGTAAGATGCTATCACAAACCAACAACATCATACATGATAGTAACATTCTTGAGCATGTCTCTAAATTGGGAGAGAGCCAAAGTTATTCGTGCACGTCCCTATTATTGAACACTGCTTAATAAAATGAATTAAGCACTATAAATATTAGAATTGTCATTTTATAACTTGCGTATGAGATGACTGTCTACCCTGAAAAAACAAGATCAACTAAAATGTTAATCCCAAGGAAGAGTTCAACACGGAAATTATTTCTAAAATACTTTTATAAAATGAGAAAGTTTTTTATGTCCAGTAATCAAAAGTTAGTGAAGCTGACATTCAAAACCTCAAGCTCAAATATAAAGGACCTATATTTAAAAAAAATCTTAAGGCGTGTATAGGATTCTTGTATTAAATTGAAACTCTCAAGGCAATCCAAAGTAGTTTTAAATAAGTAGAAGCACTATATTTCTGGAAGGAATAATATTTTAAAGATACATGTTCTTTCCAAATTAAATTACTACAAATTCAGTTAAAGTTAGGAAGGTGTTTTTCAAACTTGGAAAATGACTCAAGTTAATTTGAAATTTTTTGAAGAAACTACTAAAAAATGCTGAGGGAATTATGCCAACCAAAATTTCAAATATAGTGTAAGACAACTAATATAGCACTCTATTGATATGGAAATCAATTCATCAGTAAAACAGAATAGAAAGTTCATAAATACACTAATTACTATAAAAAATAACACAGGCACAGTGACTCACACTTGTAATCCCAGTAATTTAGGAGGCTGAGGCAAGAGGATGGCTTGAGGCCGGGAGTTTGAAATCAGCCCAGATAACATAGTGAGACCCCTGTCTTTACAAAAAATTCAAAAAATTAGCTATGGGTAGTGGTGCCTGCCTGCAGTTCTAGCTGCTCGAGAGGCTAAGGCGGGAGGATCGCTTGAGCCCAGGAGTTTGAGGTTGCAGTAAACTATAATCTCACAACTGCACTCCAGCTTGGGTAACAGAACAAGACCCCATCTCAAAATATTAATTAATTAATTAATATAAAATAAAGGTACTAAATCAATTGGGTAACACAGGATTATTCAATGAGAGGCAGAAACTACAAAAGGAGAGTAAAGACAAACTTGATAGCACCATTATTTAAAAATACTTCTACACAAAACAATTCACAAATGCCAAGTCCGAACCAAACAAACTGGAATATTTTTGCAAAATAGATGACATTTTAGAAACTTTAAATCCTTATTCTGTACTAGCCTTTATAAATTAAAGAATAATAGAAATATGGGTAAACGATATGAATGGGAAAGTAAAGTCCCCCAAAGAAAGAAAGAAATGCAAACACAAATAGATATGAGAAAGTTATTAATTTCAGCAATAATCAAAGAAATACATACTATAACAATAATTATTTTCACCCATAAAATTTCCCTTATTTTCAAAACTAAAAGTTCCAGTGGTTGACAGTGGGGAGGTTAAATACCACTCCAAGGTATTTTGCAGATAATTTACATTGGTTCAGCTTTTCTGGTAGCCTTTGGCATATTTATCACAAGCATGAAAGTCCTCAAGCCCTTTAATTCAAAAATTTTATTTTTAATGTATTATTCTAAGGAAATTATAATGAAAGTAGGCAGACATTGCAAGGAAATTGCTTGTAGTACTGATCAATAGTATAACAAATTGAAACATAAACTGTAAGTATTCAGCCAAAGGAATAAATTAAATAATCATAATATATGTCAATAGTGGAATCGTAGGCAGACATTAAGAAAGCTGTTACCAAATTAAATAATATATAAATATGTTCATGCTCTAGTGTCAAGGGAAATATGCAGATTACAAAGGAAAATGAACAATAAGATCTTATTTTTTAAAAAGAAAAAATGCCCAGAAGTCATATGGACATGCACGAAAGTAACAGTGGTTTTCTCTGTCTTGTGTGATTATAAATGATTTTAATTTACTTACTTGTACTTGCCTCACATTTGCAAGTGTTTTTCTACAGCAAGCATATATTACTTTTATAACATCATGATAAAAATCATATTTCATTGTATTTTACAATGGACATTTTGTTTTCTAAAATCAGAAAGCAGAAATGAAATAATTATAACTATATCTTAATTCAGAGTTTAAAGGAGAAATCTCCATTTACTGGTTTCCCCATTACTACTTAATTGGCTAATCTAGTTTTTCATTTACCCTGATGTAGACACAAATAGAATCTGCAATATAATCAGGCACCAACCATGGGATTAATTAGCTAACTAATTACGTAAATGGGATCCCAGTTTTAACAGTCATACCTCTGCAAAAATTGTCTTTTTCTTTGCAAAAACAATGAAGTGTCAACTTTTAAAAAATTAATCCTGCCAACTTCTTATAAAAAGATTGTGTAATGTCTTGGGGAAAGATTTAAGATATACAAGTTAAAGATGGCCTTTGAAAGACAGACAGATTTGAATTTAATATTTGACTCTTTTCTAAGAATTTAAAATTATTCTCAAAGACGAAAATGAATGGTCTGAAACTCAACGAAATCTTTTCCATGTGAGTTATGCACTCATGGTGTCCCTGTAGGAGTTAGAGAGGTGAATAAATTGAACGAGTAATGATTTGTACTCTTAAACTTCCTGGAAGGAGAAGTGGCTTGGAGGGTGTTGGTGGGAATAGCCAAGGTATGACTGTGATTTCAGGTAAGATAATTTGAGGAGCTGACAATTTACCTGCGTGGAAGTATCCAGCAGGCATTTGGGAATATGTAATTGGCTCCTGAATCAGACATGTCAGTGAGGTGATACTCATATAGGAGTCAGTTACCTAAAAGTGACAGCTAAACCTTATGAAGGCAATGAATTCCAGGTTAGTGCAGAGCCTCTGCACAGTTCCAAACCCAGGGGATGCTCTTCTCATTCTCTTATCTGAAGTTAAGCTCCAGGGCTTATCATTCACATAAACTACATTATGAACAATGCTGTTTCCATCTCTCTATCATGCCAGATGTCATATACTAGATGAGGTCTCTCAGAAGAGCTAGACAGAAGTATAAGGACTCACCTTTATATATACAAAGTGAGGAACAAGACAATATGTACAAGGACTCATATTAACATATGCAGGATGAAAGGGGAAAAAGAGGTCAGTTAATTGGTTTTAAAAAAAAGATGAAATAAGACAGGCTCAAGGAAAACGGAAAGGGGGCAAAATTGCGGGAAGTGTTTGGCCTGTGGTTTCAAATGTTATAGACAGACCTGAGGCAATGATAACTGAGACAAGCCACTGGGCCTAAAAGTATATAGAAATGGGTAATCTTAGGGATGGTGGAGTCCATTGAGTAAATGGGTGGCTGGGGGGAAGACATCAGACCCCGAGAAGCAGAAGCTAAGGCCTGGGGAGGAATGGAAGACTATGGACTTAAGAGTGTAGCATCATTGGTCGAAAGACTTTTATTTATATTTAGGGAGACTAGAGCATGTCTTTAGGTAGAGCAAAAGGAAGCAGGAGAGAGGGGAACACTGAAATACAGGAAAAAGAGGGGATAGTTGAGTAAACAGAAAGAACCCTAAGTGAAAGCAGGAGGAGATTGGAGCAGTATACCAGGACCGGGATGAGCCCTGGAAAAGAGAAGGAGCACCTATTTCTCAGAGCTAGGATGAGACTGAGGTGGACAGGGAACTAACGCCTTCCAGAACAGAAATATGTGGTCCGATGAGTATTGAATGCAACTTAAAATCTAGTTGGAATGTGATGGATAAGAAGAGACCCAAAGTCATCAACAAGCCTTCTCATGAACTTTCAGTCATTAACCTTCCTATATAGTAAGGACAGAAATGATGATTTAAGCCATCTTAGGCAAGGCAGTGCTAACAATATGCTTTTGTAAAGTCACCATCCGGTGTAAGGAATAGGCACCAGCTTAGTGATGTTTGCAAATAAGCCAGTGGTGGGTGTGGATAAATTAGAGAGAGTACCAAATGCAGTTTGAAAAGTGTTAAGTTTTGTCTCTAGTAAATTGCATGTAGTTTTACCAAATAGTGCTTCAGTGTTCTCTTTGTGTTTCCTCTTTCTGGTACTTAAAAAAAAAAAAAAGTAAAGTCAGTTCATGTAGCTGTGAGATAAATCTTGAGAAAAAGAGTATTGAATAGGGTACTGAGTTTATTGGTTAACACTTAGGAAAGATACGATGCTTGATAGGAGATCCTTTTTATTAAACACAAAGAATAGCATTTTATTCTATGCCTTAGAATTTTGTGATAGAATTGGCAACAATTCAGTTCACAAAGAGCCTTAGCACTGTGGCCACTAATGCACTGTAAAATGGGTTTTTGTTGATGTTGATTTGGAGGCTGTGTTAAATATCTTGCCCACAGCTCTAAGGTTTTGGGTACAAATCTATAAAACTATTTCACATTTATGCTACTTCCTTTTAAGACGATAGGTAATTCCCAATGATTTGCTTATAAATCAGTTATGGTTTACAAAGCAGACCAAGAGACATTCAGATTTCTGAAAACAAATTATCCATAGTTTTCTATTAAACATAGAACTGGGAAAAGACTTAGTGATTACTTAGACTATGCCTCTGATTTTTAAAACGAATTGTAATTACAACCATAATCTATGATTTTTTTTCATGAAAAAAAACAAAAGCTGTGTGAATGAGGTCAGTAACTTCCTCAACACCTCTCAGTCTCCCAAACAACAACACAGGTTAACCGTTATCAGTTTGCTGTGAAACCTTCCAAAATTTTCATGATATTGACACACACACACACACACACACACACGCACACACACACACATTTGCTTAATATGCAGTATTTAATGTATGTTCAATACATAGCATTTTTTTGCATTTTGCTTTTTATACTTAGTGATGTATCTTAGAGATTTTTGCATATCAGTATGCCTAGAGCTACTTCACTATTTTTATTTGATGCACAATATTTCATCACATGGATGCGCCATCATTTTTTTCACTTTCTCCTTAAATGGATATTTGGCTTGTTTTAATTTTTTTTCTGTTACCAATGATGCTGGAATGCACACACCTCCTTGTGCATAAGTATTGGCCTTCTTTGGGATACATAGGGAAGCGTAAATGCATTTTACATTTTAAGTGGCATTGCCAACTTATCCTTCAAGATGATAGTATAGCAGCCTTTTAATTTTAGAAATTAAGAAGGTTAAGAAGGTAAGGCACAGAGATTTTATAGCTTGCCAGATAGCATAACAATTTAGGAACTAGAAATCAAATATCCTATTTCCTTTATAGATTTCTAGTGTCTACATCAAATTTTTTCCAAATTTATAAAAGAAGAAAATAATGTATATTAAACTAGCCCCATGAAATTTTGCTTCATACTTTTCCTATTCTTTACCAGCAAAGCAAAACCAGTTCTGATTGGTCATTTAAATCAATGAGTTGAATACAAACAGAAGTATAATTGCCAAATTATGGGTTTTGGGAAACTATGGTGAACACGAGATTCTTTACTTGTCTGTTTTAGGTTATTTTTCCAGGTTATGTGATCCTGTGATCACATATCTGCCAACATTTTCATGTTTTGGGTATTTCCTAATGTAATTGAATTTCTCCTGGTTTAGAAATTTATCAACAGAATCATCTTTATTTCTTCCCTTGATGTATTCCCAAATGTAAGAAAAATATGCATAGTGAGTTGATAAAAAGAATGCAAGTAATCTACTTGAAAAATTAAGCCTCTACTTTCCAGGAAAGATAATTTTAATGGGGTTTGGGTTCATTCTCTATGAGTCCTTCTCTATCCTAATGTCATGTTGGGTCACAATTGTCTGATGATCCTGGCTAAGCATTTGGTTAACCTCATTTTGGGTCCTCTTTCTCTCTTCACATGGAGGAGCACAGCACTTGAACGCTCTCGTGTTTGAGGACAACTGGGCTGACATCGAGTGAATTTTTGGAAAACTATTATGTCTTTGTAGTCACTTAATGTCAGCTTGATGTTGAAGCAAAGTTCTGTAGGAGTAAAAAAAATACAAGAAGTGCAATGAAATATTAATTAGGCACCGAGTAGAGGCAAGGAGCTGGGCTAGGCATTTTTATGTATGTTATCTAATCTATGCTCACAAGACTTACAACCCATGTTGTAAGTCTTGTTTTGTTTGATTTCCGTATCAGGAAATGGAGGCTGAGAAAGAGAATAACACATCAACTAGTATACACAGAGGTTCTCTAGCTTTCCCTACTTCTTTCTACCACCCTTCCTCCCACCTCAGTAGAAATCAGTGAACACTGGAGCAAAGAAGTCCTCTTGGAAGAAGCAGAGTTGGAGCTAAGTCCCAAAAGGTGGCTGAGATTTAGATGATTGAAGGAGGAGGGTTCCACATTTAAAGAGGGAGAGTAGTCTGTGTAAAGGCACAGATGAAGACAGGCATGGTACACACATGCTTTCACTGGGTTAATGTACAAGAACAGAGCTCTGTTCAACTGGCTTTGGGAAGTATAATTTTGGAGGATAAAGGGCATTGGCAAGAAACTCATTGGGGTCTCATGATAAACAGCCAGATATTAGGAGTCAGGAGCTAGAAGGACTCCCTGTGTCTCTCCAGAGAACTTAGTGTCTCTTCTTTCTCCCTTGACCTTCCTGCTACATGTTTCTGTTGTTGTTGTTTTTATTTTTTTTCTCTCTGCAGAATGGCTTATTTGCTCTACCCAGCGTGTGGTCACATCAGCTGCAGCAAAGATTCCAGCTACTAGCATCACTAGGCCTCAGTGCCAGATTCCACGGGCCAGATGTCTATCCCTGGTCCACTCAGCTATGATGAGGATAATGCTTTCAGATTCTTGTTTACCTCAGCCTGGGAGCAGGTTCTTTTATATCATGGCACAAGCAGCTCCTCTAAGAAGGCAATGATTAGTATTTGAACCACAAGGAACAGGAGAAGTGAGGGGTCAATGTGGTCAGACTTACTAAGGAGTACTTAAAGGCCACTGCAAAACCAGGCACCTGATCCTCTAATTGAGAGGGGAAGTTTGCAAGGGAAAGGTGTTTGATATATGGCAAGTTGAAAGGGTGGAGAGGCTGAGCGCCAGAGGTGAGCTGAAAGGTAATGGTAACAATAGAGGCCTAGGGATACATTAGTCGACTTAGAGAGAAAAGAGAGGAATGGCAATTGCTGAGGATGCAAGAAGTTACCTTGAAAGAAGGAAAAGCAGGATTTATTGACTGGTTATAAAGGCAGCTTTTAGCTCCAGGGATAGGGACAAGGTTGTGTGGCTTTGGGACATAAAGAAAGGAGAAGGAGGAGGAACCTGAATGTCAGGAGAGACATAATGCTTCTGGTTTGGAAATGTCATCTCTGGTTCAATTGTGCTATGGGAATAATGGCCATAAGGCTACAAATGGGGTGTGCAGAGTGAATTGGATAAGATATGAAGCTATGTTAATTGGAAGTTAATGAGATGAGAAGTGGGGAATTTTGGAGAAAAACAGGAAGTCAGTGGCCAGTAGCCTCAAATCTAAATTTGCATCGTTACGGGCATGCTATCTGTGGGTTTGTGATAGGATTTCACTCAGCTTCCAGGTGGCTAGGTCATATTATCAGGTGGTGAAACAGTTAAAAAATATCACGACCTAAGATAAAGTTTTGGTGTTTGCTGGAGCACAGTAATAACAGATGAGTTCTGTTCGGTAGGGAAAACTCTAGAAGCAAGCCCAGCACTTCTGTGGATAAGACTGATTCTGGAACCTACTTTAAAGCTTGTGCTAGGCAAATGGCCGATGATTCCCAATGCTTGCCTTAGACTACAAATGCAAAGAGGAAAAGGTTAATTTTCTAACACAAATCTAAATATTTCCTTCTTGTACTAATAGGACCTAGCCATTCTGTAATGCAGGCAACATAGGTCTGAAAGAATGGTTGTATTTTGGCCAAACCATGAACTTCTTTTTGAGACCCTGCCAGTTCCTGGTGGAAGCCAGGAAATATATTTTTAGGCGTCTATAACTCCGGCTAAGGGAGCTATGTACCTCCTAATGGTTGTCATCCAATGGATATAAATAGAACCTTTAAAGAGACAAGCCATATGCTTTGTGGTGCTTACTTTATTTAACTCCAGATCTGATTTACAAGCACTTTAATTCCTAAAAACCACTCTATTTTGTTCATTAAGAATATGCAATGCACATAGGAATGCTTTGTAACTTGGCTATGGAATCAGAGATCAAGAATATTTTCCTCCCCAAAACTTGTGATAAGGTCAAATGCTAAAGGCCTATAGTAATTGTTTTTAGCTGTTCTCTTAGAATTGAAAACAAATGTTTTCTAATACCACCAAAGTGGTGTGCTGTTAGTAATGAATCTGTATGGCATAATTTCAGTTTCCTCATAATTTTTATGCATGACCTCAAAATTAAATGTGGTTCTCTAATTTTTTAATAATTGAAAGAATAGGTTTTTACTAATTAAGATCAGATTTATACTCTTTTGTATCAGAGAATGTCATGGTGAAAATTAATATAACAAAGTCATACTGACATTTACTTTAGATCAGTGTAAAGATATACTACATGTCCACTGGAATGGCAAAAATTGAATGACTGGCAGTACCACATTTGGCAAAGATATAGATAACGAGAACTCTAGTGCATTGCTGGTAGCAGTGTAAATTGGCTACTACCACTTTGGAAAACTATTTATTAATGTTTGTCTGTGCCCTACATATATCTACTGTATCAGTCTAAGATAAATGATCATATGTGTCCACTAGAAGATGGTTACAAGAATAATCATACAGTCGTATTTGTAATAGCCCCAAACTGTGAACAATAAATTATTTATCAACAATTGGATAGATAAACAAATTGTAGTATATTCACAAAATAGAATACTGTTCAGCAATAAAAAGAATGAACTATTAATCCATGCTACAATATGGATAAAATTTCAGAAATGTCATGTTAAGTGGAAGAAATAGGACACAAAAGAGAAATATGATTCCTTGTATATGAAATTCAAGAAAGGCAAAACTAATTGAAGCTGGTAGACATCAGAAGAGTAACCCACTCTCTTCCTGGGGAGGGTTTTTCCAGGAAAGGGGTGCCTGATAATTTTGGAGATGGAGATGTCTAAGTGGTGCTTTCATGAGTGTGTACATATGCAAACACTCATCCCACTGTGCACGAAGGTTAGATACTTCCCCATGTATATGCTATACCGCAGTAAAAGTATGAAATATATGTTTTATACCTCAAAATGTTTCACAACACATTATTTTCTCCTTTCCAATTCCACAGAGAAGAGAGAGGCTAAGTCTAGTACAAAAGGTTGGTTCTGGGCCAAACTGGAGAGGAGATGATGCAATGGAAGTATCCAGGCAAATACAAAGGGATTTTAACTTGTCTGTGTTTATTGCAAAAAAGGAAATTTGTTATATTGTGAAAATAGTAAAATAGTGTGGCTTAGGAGAGGTTCTATTTTGGAGGGGGGGATGTATGACAAGTAATATTTTTATATTTTATATCATATCCAATTAGATACATTGAAGAAGAAAAAATGTGTTTTAATTTTAAGCAGAGTTTTTACTTTTAAAATGTTTATATGTATATAAATATATACCCACTCTTGTAAATAGAGCCTTATGCATGCTTGTGGAGCATTTTGGTGCAGTCTTTTTTGAAAATGTTTTCCCTGTTTCTTCTACCTCTTTTACTTTACCTCTCTATTGTCACAACCTATGTGTGTCCTACTTAATATGTAAGCTCATATAATAAGGCATACTTATCACATAAATATGTGTGTATGGGTGTATATGTGTACACCCACACATACTAACATTCATAGATAAGTACAGCTTTATTTGTCTTTGTGCTATAAAAATGATATTATAGTATGCAAACTTCCCTGCATTTTGCTTTTATTCACCCAGTAAAACTTCATGGAAATTCCTGTAAGTCAACTTGTATATTATGGTGGCCCAGTAGTCCCTGCTGTAGATATAGCATAATTTACTTAAGCAGTTCTTTGTTTATAGGTTTTGGTTGGGCAAGGTCTTTTGTGTACTACAGTGAGAAAGCTTTGGCCTCAGAAACAGCAATCAGAGTTTGTCACTTAGATGGTCTGAGCCCATGTCTCCTCATCCATCAAAGGGAGATAAATTTATACTTGGCCACTCACAATACAGAGCAATTATAAGAATCAAAAAGACTATATGTAAGAGTGTATGCGTTTGGTATGATGGAAAGAGCATTGCCATTGTTAACAATCAAATTTGTTTGTGTTTAGTACTTGCTGTAGGTGAGGCACTGTTCTAAGGTCTTTTCATGTATTTATTTAATATTTACAATAACGAAATGTGGTACTGTGTAGTATTATTCTTTTAACTCTTTCCAAATGAGGGAATTAAGAAAAAATTGAAATAATTTTCACAAAATCAGCAGGAGACCTCAGATTCAAATCCTGGATTTTCCATTTGAGTGTCTGTGATTTTTATCTACCATGCAATATTACTTCTCAAATATGATGTTCACCGTACCTTTTATTTTGTACATGAGCATTCATTGGTAACATGAAATAGGGTGGTTTATAGGAGAATGATCTCATTACATTGCCAATCATAAAAAATACTAAAATTTAAAACACAAAAGACATGCATCAGATAGCTATTTTTGTGCAAAAGCCATCCCAAAATGTAGTGATTTGAAATTACAACTACATATTTAGGCTCTGATTATGTGATCATCTGGTAAGGGCTTAGCAGCAGGGTTCTTCTGTTGCATCTGGGCTCATTCAAGCATCTATGATAAGCTGCTGAGTCAGCTAGGTTGCTTTGCTCTGAAGATTGACTTCAGCTATGAAAATAGGGGCAATTGAGCCATAAAGCGCTTATCCTCCAGCAGGCCTTTTCAGGCTTATGCACATGTAGGGGTATGGTTTCAAGAGAGAATGTAGAAACATGCAAGAATTCTTGAGGCCTGTTGTTAGAACTGACACAGCATGGTTTCCACCACATTTTCTGTTAAAGCAAGTCACAAAGTGATCTCAGGTTCAACCACCTGATGGGAATTACTACCAGGACACATAGCAGAAGGCAAAGAAAGAGGTTGAGGAATAATTGCAGCTATTTCATTCAGTGTAGGAAGCAAAGCAAAATAAATTTTCTTACTACCTTATTTAATTCATCCCATAGAGCCTGGACACTGATTTTTTATTATTACTATGTAAGTATGTGTGTGCATATGTGTTTCTGCTGAGAATACCTTGTACATAGTTTTTATCTTTTAATTTGCAAATGGCTGGTTTTCTTTTCTCGGGGAATTTTTTTCTGAGATGAGGATTTGCTTCCTCTGAATGACTAAGCTGAACTGAATCTTTCCACTCTTTAGAGCTACCCTCATGCTCTTGAAGTCCTTATGTCTGCAATGATTTTAATCTCTATTTCTCAGGTAGCCAGAAGACAGGATATTATACTGTGGTTTTCCACAGCAGCAGGTCTGTTTGGCTAGATAATCAAGGTATCAAAACTAATTCTTTAATACAGATGGCTTACAATACTTGTGAATTGCATTTTCCAAGGAGCACTGTCATATTCTCAATATTACCACACTTCCTACACCTTTAGCATCCTCTCTCAATACTATCAGTTCCCAAAACCTTTGCCCTATTGTGCCAAGAAAAGACATTTATCAGATGAGTAAACTGAGGCATAGGAAATATCTATCAGTTTCATAAAGGGTTCATCACCTGAGATGCATGGGTTTCTTATTTCTTGGCCCTCAGCCATATGAATTATCCAATTTGATTTTCAGATTTCTCTTTTTTTCTTTATACAGCTTAAAATGACATATTCTCTAACTCATTCATTCAACATATCATTTCTTCTTGAAGGCCTAGTGACATAGAAATGAGGGTATCTTTAGAAATCATTAGAAATTTTAAATGGTTAAATGAAGGAGCTTTAGAAAACCATCTTAAATTAGGAGCTTAGTGAATGTTGCTTTATTTTTTAATTCACATATAGTAAATGAAAACATGAATTTAAGAATTGGCCAGGCTAAGATTCAAATTCCAGTGCCACCATTTATAAATAACATGAGTGAACTTAGACAATTTAATACAGCACACACACACACATACACGCAAACACACACACACACACACACACACACTTTTGCCTAATACCTGGAACATAGTAGTAAATGCTCAATATTTTTTTACTCTCAAAAGCAAGGGCAGCATAGGAAATGACCCTCTCAAGTCAGATCAGGAGTGGTGACTAAATGACAAAGGACCACTTGTGCAGACGTCCTTGTGTTTCTTCATCTTAGCTTTAGGGTTTTCTTTCAAGTGTCCAGATTGCACCTATATTACCCTTGGGTAAGAGCCAATGAGATAATCCATACAGAATGCCTAGGGCAGGGTCTGGAAGGAGTAAGTGCTGTATAAAATTATCCTTCTTCTTCTTTCACTTCCTCTCTTTCTTGGGGCTGACCAGCTGATAAACTAGTCCTCTGTCCTAGATTGTGTTCCCCAGAAACAGACCTTGAAATGAGGATTATGTGCAGGGGATTTATTAGGGAAGCATCTCAGGAGAGACTGGCAGAGGAGCAGGCCAAGGAAGGGAAAGAAGACACATCTGGGTTCCATTTCAGGTG